>NC_000006.12:93511402-93662341 GCF_000001405.40 Homo sapiens
TATTTGTTATTTACATGTTTTAGATATTAACCCCTTACCAGATATGATTTGAAAATATTTTCTCCCAATTCATAGGTTGTCTCTTCACTCTATTAATTATTCCCTTTGCTGTGCTGTAGCCTTTTAGTCAGAAGACGTGAAACTGTAAAAACTATTAGAAGAAAACACAGGAGAAAAGCTCCATGACATTGGGCTGGGAAATGATTTTTTTTTCTTTAGATACAATCCCAGAAAACATGGACAGAAAAAGCAAAAGTGGACAAATAAGATTTCATCAAATTATTATTACCATTATTATCATCATTATGACCTCCAAAATCATCTTGTGTATCAATAGGCTTACTGAACTTTTCTGTGTATGTTTATTTTTTATGTATCTGCTTTTATTTACTTGTGTGTTTTGGGCTAACATCAACAGTGACATAAGAAAATTTTTTCTTTTTGGGAGGTCCTTATTTTATTACAAAAGGTGGATTCATGAAATATGATAAAATTAGGAAAATTCACGTGGTAGGCTAATTAAATGAATATGTCGTGGTATACTTAAGGAGAATAATGGTAAGTAATATTAATTAGTAATAGTGTTGTAAAGGAATATGTCTGACATGGAGGGTGAATTATATAATAAAAGGAGGGACATATATGTGTTAAGACTCACTACCAGTAAATAGCCTTAATAAAAGTGACAAGAAAGGAAAAAAAAAGCAGTCATTAGACTACAACTGGATATTATCTTAAGGAAAATCAAGGACCAAAATGTTTGCTCTCAAATGATCTAAAATATATACACTTGCTTGAATTATTATGAGTACTTGACAATCACTCCACCCATTATAAATTCTTATTACGAATAAAAGGTCACATGTAGTATAGGAATCTGAATTAGATATGTATTCATATGAATAATAGGTAGCTGAGTAACTCATTATCCTTAATTCCAGGAAATATGTTTTAGCAGAAACACTTTCTGCTGCTCTGTTCTATACCAGTGGCATTTTGATGTGAGAGTTGCTGTTATTTTGGTGATCTTACAAATGCTATACTAGTCATTTTACTGAAGACTCATGCACTAGAGATTCTACAGTAAAGAATCATCTTAGGCACACTTGCAACTGCTGCTTCAGGGAAATTTTTGAAGGAGTTCACCTCCAATGAGTGGTCTTCCACAATTTCACTTTGATTATATTGCCTAAGAGCTATGGGAAAGAAATTTTTTTAAAAAAATATTTAAGTAATCTTCACATGAAGCATTAAATAAATTGCTAGTGAAAAGCAAGGGCAGAGAGTACAAATAGACGTGGAGTAATCAGAGATAAGATACATTTTTCAAGAATAATAATCACTTAGAATATGATACAGAATAGTTTGATAAAAATAGCAAACATAGCTTCAAACTGAAGAGAAAGCTTCACAGGTCTAATATGTAGTAAAACTATGGAAATTCTTTCACAGCTTTCTCCACAAAGTATATAACAGTGATTTATAATGGATTGCAAGTGATAACAGCAGTTACTACATACATAAGCTGACCAAATTTTAGCTCTTGTCTAAAAGACAATTAATGCAAGTTTTTGACACGTTACTTTATATGCCTGAACTTGAGAATAGAGTTTGCTCTTTTACGATGTTTGCTTATAATAGTCTGTCAAAATAGTAAGAGTGTTCTGTTGATTTCCTCTTTACTGTAAATTCTGTTTTTTAGAAGTAGATAATACTTTGGCACAATCAGCCAAAAAATATGTAACAATCATGGTCATATATGCTTCTATGTTACAGTCTTCAACTATATAAACTAGCAAATGCTAGGACAATGGAAAGAATTAGGTAAAGTAACAATTCTAGTTGGAGATTTTAACACATCTTTCCTGAAACAACAGCTATAGCAGAGCAAAAACAAGCAAAGATATAGAATATTTAGAAAATACAATTAATATCCTTGATTTAATTTTAGACTGAAGTTTGACTTTAGCCTTGTTATAGTTCCATATATTCTTGGTAAAGTCAATATTCAATGCCTAGAACTGACTTGCATGTAATCAATATATAACTATACGAGTAATATGAATAAGGCATAGTTCAGATTTATTGTTAATTTCTGAGTATTCTCATCGAAATGTAGTTAAGCATTTCAGATGCAGCTTGGAGTGAAAAATCTCTTTATATGCTTATATCTTGAAATTCTATTAGTCCATTTAATTAATATGTATGTCTATTATTATATTATATACTATATAATAATATAGTATATATTATATATTATTTATAATAATAATATGTATATAATAATAGACTTACATGCATATTAGGACATATATACATAGGAGCAAAATGCTGTATTAACACTTGACACTTGAAAGTTGTTTATGATACATACAAAAGCAACCACTAAAATGTTTCAAATATTTTGATACAAAACAGATTAGTAGAGATTATATAAAATCATACTTCTACTAGTTTATTAATAGTATTAATAAAAATTATTTAATAACTATTTAATTCATCAATATCAGTGGTAAAAGTGTCTGAAAAAAGATCTATTTAAAAATTTCTCATGTTGTGAGACTGAATTAAAAGTAGAATTTTCCAATTCAAATTTTATGAGGAAGACAATTTTTGAAAGTCTTGGAAAATAAATGCTTATGACAGATCATTTTTAGTTCAGACACAGTCGGATTACAGGGGATACACAGAAAGAAAAAGAATGAGGTACGCTAAACATACTTTTCTCTTACTAGTCAGTTCAACAGATTTTATAAGAAAGCTTTAAAAAGATAATTTATTAAATCTCACACTCTCTACTACTCTTCACTCCAGTGACTTTGCTGTGGCTTTCAATTCTTTGATCCTATTAACTTTTCACTCTCTCATTCCATATATACATATATACCCTTACTTTTATAACACAGATGAAATTCTAATTCTATGGTCTCTCAATATAATAACTCCCATATTTATACACTTGACTCCCTTGATCCTCTCTTGCTTTCTTCTATTTGCTTGGGGAAACAAAAACCACATAGTTGATTGAATTTAGAGATCCACATAGCTGAGCCAGCTAAATATGACTAGATAAAAACATCCAACCCCATAAACATTTTAAATTCATGACTATAAACTTGTAGGAGTCCTTTAATACTCCTGAACAATCATGTAATATGTTCCTGGTCTATTCACTAAACCACTTACCTAGGTAAATATTTCACACCTCCTCTCTTTAATTTCAAACCTCTGCTCTTACATTATCTTTATTAGCTAATGATTTTGCTTCCTACTTGATTGAGGAAACTGAAACAATCACAAGAAATCTCCAGACTCTGTGTCTATGCACCTTCCAGCATCTACACCCACATACTCTAGCATTCCATCTGTTTCCAGAGATAAGCTATTCATATTCCTCCCAAAGCCAATTTACACATCATCTCTTGCCCACTGAAGACATCACTCCAGTAATTCCACCTTGTCTCCTTTGTTTCATCCCTATTTATTCTCTACTGGATCAGTACTTTATATCTAAAAATGTATTGCTATTTCTTCTTTCTTAAAAATGAAAAGTATTTTATTTATTGCTCAGCTTATCTTTAAAGCAAGAACATTTTACTTACTACAAAGCTAATAATGTATTTTTCTGTTAGCAGCATTCTTCTATGTTTAGTTGCTCTAATTATTCAATACTTATTTTTTTGTTATCTTCTTAAATTAGAATTTTGTGTCCACGTTGGGTGTGGTAGCCCATGCCTATAATCCCAGCACTTTGGGAGGCCTAGGTGGGAGGAATACTTGAGACCAGGAGTACAGTTAAAGACTAGCATGGGCAACATATCAAAACACTGTCTCTTAAAAAAAATAAAACATTAGCTGGGCATGGTAGCACATATCTATAGTTATAGCTACTTGGGAGGCTGAGAAAGGAGGATTGCTTGAGCCTAGGAGTTTGAGGTTACAGTAAACTATGATTGTACCACTGTACTCCAGCCTGGGTGACAGAGCAATAACTTGTCTCAAAAAAAAATTGTTTCCAATGTTCCACTGAATGATCTTGTCAAAGTTATCAGTGAACTTTTCAAAGACTATTTCTCACTTGCAGGATTTGGCCAATTGATTATTTCTTCCTCCTTGACAATCTTTCTCCATTGGCTATCAGGACACCTTACTCTACTGGATTTAATGGTGTTCCTGCAAAATTCATATCCATCTGGAACCTGTGAATGTGTATTTATTTGGAAAGTCTTTGAAGATGTGATAAAATTATGATGTCATACTGAATTAGGGCAGTGATACAGTTTGGCTCTGTGTCCCCACCCAAATCTCAACTTGAATTGTAATTCCCATAATTCCCACGTGTCAAGGGAGGGAGCTGTGGGAAGTGATTGCATGGGGGCAGTTTCCCCATGCCTTTCTATGATAGGGAGTTCTCAGGAGAGCTGATGGTTTTAAAAGTGTTTGGAAGTTCCCCCTTTGCAGCACTCTCTCTCCTGCCACTTTATGAAGGAGGTGCCGGCTTCCTCTTCTGCCAGGATTTTAAGTTTCCTGAGGCCTCTCCAGCCATGTGGAACTGTGAGTCAGTTAAACATCCTTTGTTTATAAATTATCCCATCTTGGGTAGTATCTTTAGCAATGTGAAAATGCTAAATACAGGCAGGCACCAAATTCAATATAAGAAAAGGGAAATTTGGTTACAGATATATGAACAGAGAGAAGACAATGTGAAAGCACAAACATACAGGGGAGAAGGCCATGTGGAGATAGTCATAGATTAAACTGACACATCTACTAGCCAAGAAACACCAATGATTGCCAGCAACCACAAAAAATTAGATAAGGGAAGGAAGGATTCTTTCCTAAAGCATTTGGTGCGAGCAGGACCTACTGACACCTGAACTTCCAACTTCTAACCTACAGAACTCTGAGAGAGAAAAACAATTCTGTTGTTTTAAGGAACCCAGTTTACAGCACTTTTAAATAGCAGCAGTAAGAAATGAATACATGTACTCTTAGTTTTACTTCGTCCTCACTGGTCACTCTTTCTCAGCCATCTTCATAGGTTCCTGCTTTTCTCTGTCCTCTTAACATTAAATTGTCCTTAGTCTCAGTCTTTGATTTTTGTTTCCTCTATTTATTGTGTAGAGGATAGTGTCAGTGCTTTGCTGAGATTCTCTTATCTCCCTTTTTTACTATATTAATCTGTTGAGACATAACGAAGGTGGGAAGCTTCAATATGCTTTCACTTTCAACAGCTAGCACCTGGAGCTCTTTTTTTGGTGCCAGGGTGGTGGGGTCAGAATTGCTCTTGCATTTTTGGAGCCTTCTTTGTCTTCACTATCTATTAAAGGGCTCTGAGAAGAGTATTGACACTAACATACTTATATTTTAAATAATCGCTATGGCTTCTCTATTGAGAATAAAAGTTAAAGATGCAGGAATAGATTTTTAGATATCTTTTAGTAGTCCATTGCAGTAACACCACTCTCTCTCTACACACACGTGCACACACACAGACATACACACACAAACACGTACACGAGTTTCACCTCACATACTACAATAAAAAGTGGGGAAGAATATTCTTTTGCCTAATTTATTTTCCTGAGTAATACTTGGAGTCCCTAATGATTGCCTGGGTGTCCCACAAATCAATTTTGGTGGTGGTTTCACCTCTATTTTCTATACTTGCTTTGAAATGAGCCTGTGCTAGTATTCTAAAAGGAACTCTTTCTGTTCTGTAAGTGATTTCTCCAGTTTTTTGTTGTTTTCTCCTCATTGTTTCTGCTTCAAGTATGTTCAGCACCCACCTTCCTCACTCCATTAATTTTTTCAAACATAGGACACCTTGGTTGAGACCATATCTCACTATTGTGAAAAGTGCTGCAGGAAACACGAGGATGAAGATGTATCTTCAACATGATGATTTTTTAAGATAAATTCCTAGTGGTGGGATTGCTAGATGATATGGTAGTTCGGTTTGAAGTTTTTTGAGGAACCTCCATACTATTTCTACAGTGGCTGTAGTCGTTTAAATCTACACCAACAGTGTATAGGGAGGGCTCTCTTGTCTCCACATCTTCACCAGCAGTTGTTATTTTTTTGTTTTTTGATAATAGCATCCTAACTGAGGTGAGGTGTTACCTCTTTGTGGTTTTGATTTCCATTTCCCTGATGATTAATGTTGAGCAATAGCTAAAGAATGATAGTGAACGTTCCCAACACAAAGAAAAGATAAATGTTTGATATGATAGATACGCTAATTCCCGTAGTCTGATTGCTATACATTATATTTATTAAAACATCGCTATGTAGCCCATGATTACATACAATTATTACTTGTCAATTTTAAACAAATACAAAAAAGAAAATAACAATATTAAACTCACTATGAACCTTAATTCCAATGCCTTAGACAGCATTGGTAAAATTTCTGTCCAAATTTTTATAAAAATTAAATATATCTTTAATAAATACTGGCCTTGATGATCAAGGAAATATATAGCTTTTACTCGTGCTGTTTCTTAAATGTATGTGCATTGCCCCAGAAAATTATTATTTCTTTTTGGGAAGCAAGTGAGACTTTTTTTCAAGTATTTGCATAGATTAATAAGATTCCACAGAGTGGTGAAGACTAGAAAAAAGAAGTGAACTGGCTTGAAACAAAATCATCTAAGCTGGACTATTGTTTCCATTTACGCATCTACAAGTAATTATAAATATATTCTTTTTGTCTTGTCAATACAAATGGTAGGTTACTACGCATACTGTCGTGTATCCTGCTTGCTTTATTCAACTCTGGATCGTAGATATCTTTTCATTTTGGGCCATGGAGAGCTTCATTCATTCCTGTTATTTGACTGCATGATGCTCCATATATATATATTTATACACTGCAATTTATTTAACATGTTTCCTATGAATTGACACATGATATTTTAATTGTCTGCTATTTCTTGTGCTTCTCTTCTCTTGAAGTCAACATTTTACTATTATAGCCTAGCCTTAGCTACAATAATAGCCGGTGTAAAAAATAAAACCTTTTAATTTTATATTATAATGACTTTACTATGGAAAAAAGTTTTTTTAATATCCCTATTGTAAATTTTTACTTATTCAATATTTCTCCTCTTGTCCATCTTTCTTAGTCCATCTGGTCTGCTATAACAAAACACCATAGACTAGGTGCCTTATAGGCTGCAGAAACTTATTTCTTACAGTTCTGTAGCCTGAGAAGTCTAAGATCAAGGTGATGGCAGATTTGGTGTCTAGTGAGGACCTGTTTCCTGGTTCATAGATGGTGCCTTTTTGCTGTTTTGTCATGGGGTGGAAGAGGCAAACAAGCTCCCTTGAGGCTCTTTTATAAGGACACTAATCTCATTTATGAGAATTTCACCTTCATGGCCTAATTACCTCCGAATTGTCCCACTTCTTTACACCATTATATTGGGGATTAGGTTTCAACACGGGAATTTTGTAGGTAGGTCACTAACATTCAGACCATAGCACCATTTTTTGATAGATATGTTACTGTTTTTACTGTTTTTTTTTTCTTTTCACTGTTGAAAGCTCTTTTTTTTTTTTTTTTTTTTTTTTTTGAGATGAAGTCTCACTCTTGTCCCCCAGGCTGGAGTGCAATGGTGCCATCTCGGCTCACTGCAACCTCCGCCTCCTGGGTTCAAGCGATTCTCCTGCCTCAGCCTCGCGAGTAGCTGAGATTGCAGGCACCTGCCACCATGCCTGGCTAATTTTTGTATTTTTAGTAGAGATGGGGTTTCACCATGTTGGCCAGGCTGGTGGTCTCGAACTCCTGACCTCAGGTGATCCACCCGCCTCGGCCTTCCAAAGTGCTGGGATTACAGGTGTGAGCCACTGCACCTGGCCTGTTGAAAGCTCTTGAAAAAAAAAATTAAGGAGATGATCTTGTTATTTCTCTTGCAACAATTTTTTTTTCAGTTTGCATTTGCCTTTTAATTTTGCTTTTGTTTTTGACTTAAATATTTGGGGTATTTCACATTCTTCTTTTACTAGTTTCCTTTAATTCCCGTAACCACAAGCTCCTTCCCCTCTCTGCATAGGCATTTAATTCCCATAACGACAAGCTCCTTCCCCTCTCTGCATAGGCATCAAACATTTAAATGTTTGATGTGTAACTTTCTACTTGACTGCATTGCAAAGTGTGTAATATTTAATGTGTATATAAACAATATTGTCATATGCTTCTTACCTTAAGATATGCCATACGGCTAGTAAGATCCATCTCTGTTGATATGTATGCATTTTGCATTTAGTCAGTTGCTGCTAAATGTTGCATTATATTTCATGGTGTGAATTTGCCATATTTTACCTGACCACTTTCCCAATGATGGGCACAAAGGTTGTTTCTGCCTTCTTAACACCACACACTCAGAGAACCATCTTCATATATAACTCTATGAACCAGAGAAGATTTGGGATACATATCCACAAGTGGACTTGCTGTTTCTTTGGATATGTGCATATAAAATTTGACTAAACATGACTTGAATTCTTTCGAATGGTTGTCTTGCTTGACATACTCACCAGCAGGATATGAAGCTTCCTATGTCGTTACATCCCTGCCAACATTTAGCATTACAAAACCTTTTAATTTTTTTCCACTGCAGTTTTAATTTGAATTTTTCCGATTACTAAAAATCTTGAGTGTCTCATCAATTACTAATTAATTTGAACCATATAAAATTGTTGATATCCAAACATTTTTTGGTTCACAAAAAATGGCAATAACATATTGTTCCAACTAATGGATTTTTGTGTTTCCTCTACTATAAATAACCTGTTTTATTTCCTTGCTCATTTTTTTCTATCAAGTTGCTATTTTGTTATGGAGTTTTGCAGAAATTTCTCATATTGTAAATGCTATTACTTGTGAGTTACAGACAGTACAAATACCTTCTCTGTTCTGTCAATTACCTTGCCTGTGGTACCCTTCCTTGATCAAAAATCTTTGATTGGGCAAAGTAGCAGAAGTACCATTAGGCCCTTATTTAGCATTTACTGTGTGCTAGCCATTGCTTTAAACATTTTTCATATATTAAATCATTTAATACCTGTTGCAAATATGAGGAAATTGAGTCACAGAGAAGTTAAAGGATTGTCCAAGTTCACTCAGCTAGTAGGTAATGGAGCTCTTAACCATTAATCCATAAATTTCTTATCTTATGCTTTGTGTTTTTGAAGTTTTTTAAAAATGATACTTTGCCTGTACCTACTCCATAGTTTCACCTAGATTTCACCTTTATATGGGGATTAGATGAGGATTCTAATTTATTTTCTATCTATTTGATAATCTACCTTTCCCTTTTGATTTTGGTGCCATTTTATTTTTTTGTTAAATTATTTTATATATGGACCCACTTCTATTACACTGGTGTATTTGTCCATTGCTAGGTTAATACTACATTATTTTTATGACTGTTATCTGGAGGTATGTCTTGGCATATAATAGAGCAATTCTCTTACCTTCGTTTTTGCTTTTCCTTGTCTCCTTTTGCTTGGAAAATTACTGTGACCCATCTTTGTTCCCACACAGAAAAAACATTTTTGAGAAATACAAAATGTATGATCAAATCCTATAAAAATTCTAATAAAATATAAACATTAATCATGTAATATCCCAATACTATAGAAAAATGCCATTAAATTTTTCCTATACAGAATATACACAAGCTACATAAATTTTTCAGAATAACTTAAAAGGCATTAAATAAATGTCAAAGCCTGGAAATAATATTATAAATCAGAACAGCCAAAGAATAAGATAACAAAAATAAAAAGAAAAGTGTCAGAATTTAGGTATAAGAAACAAAAAGTAGAAGGAAAATATTTTAAAAATTAGCCTAATTGAGAAGAAAGATAAAGGTTCATAGATATCACATAAAGCACAGTAAAATAAGTGATATAAAATGAATACAAATAATTAGAACTAAAGGTAAAAGTTTATAAGAAAAATCACAGATCTAGAAGACAGGCAAAGGATATATATGATATATTTATTTGTAAACTGAGAAAATAACCAAGTCATAGGTTAGAATGCATATTTTTAACCTGCAATATCAATACCAAATTTTCACCAATAATTGTGATTACAAATGGAAAAGCTCCCTGGGAATTTGGACATGAATGACGAATTCTGAGATATACCCTTTTAAAATGATTAAACATTAAATATTTAAAAAGCGTCTGTTGGGTATTCAGGAAAATGACTAATGAAGACAAGCCATTAGTTAAAAAAAAAAAAAATTCAGCATAGAAAGAAAGAAAATCAAATTAGCACCAGACTTCTCAGCTGTGCTATTTTATGCAAAAAGATCTTAGAGCAACATTATTTAGATACTTAAAAAAGAAAATGTGAGCCAGGTATTTTTAATTTCATCACACTTTCAGAAGTATCAAAAATGAGAGGGAACTAAAGATTGCCAAATAAGAAATTAATATAAATATATCCAATAAAAAACAGTACAGACTTTCTTAAAAATCAGAAGAAGTACACATGGTGAAATACTTTAGAAAGATGCACGCACGTGTGTGTGTGTGTGTGTGTGTGTGTGTGTAAAAGTATGGCAGAACTACCACTAGCTTACCCCACTAAAGAAACCAGGTTCATAGAGAAATGGCTGATTCCAGTTTTAAGATAAGAAATGTGCAAAATGGGCCCGAAACATTTTTTGTGTGTCAGAAAGTAAGCTATTAAAAAACTAATACGGGGCCGGGCGCGGTGGCTCACGCTTGTAATTCCAGCACTTTGGGAGGCCAAGGCAGGTGGATCACCTGAGGTCAAGAGTTCAAGACCAGCCTGAACAACATGGTAAAACCCCATATCTACTAAGAATACAAAAATTAGCTGGGCATGGTGGCACACATCTGTAATCCCAGCTACTTGGGAGGCTGAGGAAGGAGAATCAATTGAACCTGGTAGGCAGAGTTTGCAGTGAGCTGAGATCACACCACTGCACTTCAGCCTGGGTGATAGAGTAAGACTCCATCTCCAAAACAAAAACAAAAAACAAACAAACTAACAAAAACTAATATGGCCAAGGCACAACAACGAAGAAAACAACTAGAAAGTACTATTAGTTTCCCAAGTTGAGATAATTATACATTAAAATATAGCTGCGGTTGAATAAAACATATTCAGCATATGAAAACAAATTGGATGAATGTACAGAATAATTTTGGGATAAAGGTAATAAAGATTGCTATGCTTTATTGCTCCTGTTTATAATGGGACTGCTTTCAGTGTTTCACCATTAAATATTTTTTGTTTTTAATCTGCTACTAAGATTTTATTCAAACAGGAATGGTTTTGGAAATTTAATGAAAGGATTTATTAGTTAATTAATATGCATATAATATTTTGTTTAATTTGAGCAAGAAATAAAATGAATTCTAATAAATTTATCAAATTAAGTCATTTACTTACTCTTGGAATAAATGATGCTCACTACTTATCCTTGAGAGTATGAAACATCTCACCTATAAAAATATATACAGTAGTCTGAAAGCCTTTTCGGTATCTTTTTCTAGATTTTATTCTGTTAATATTATTTATTCTTATATATTTTATTCTTTAAATGTTTGTGTGTTTTTAAAATCATAGTGACATTACATTTGGTGAAAATAGTAACAATTTTTAGTTTTTTAAATTTTCTTTTATATACTTGCTATCCCAAAATCCCTAGCCTGTCTTACAAATATAATAGATATTTAACAAATAATTTCTAATTGATTGATTTTATAATTATCAATTTTAAAATGTTTCCTGGAATAATTTTGTCTTTTGATAGCTCAAATATAAATGAATATTTTCCATTTATTTTAATATATTCTCATAGTCATCTCAGCATCAGATGCATCTCTTTCTTTGGTACTTCTCAGGGTACCATTAATATGAATGTATTCACAATTATGTTTACTCACCTCAATCTATTACTTTCTGACATTGTCTTTTGATCTCTTCAACCTTGGTAACTATTATCACATTAAGCAACCTTTTACAATTATTAGTATTTAGCAAAGAATAACCCAAGGAGCAATTAAATGTGTTGGCCCTCTTGTAGTCTGTAATTTTCCCTTTTCCTATTAAGTAGTGGACTTACACTCTGCAGTGACATTCTTTTGATTCTCAGGCACTTACAGTAAGTGTTTCCTTATTTCTTTTTATAAGCTCTGCTAATCGGGTTTCATTCTGTGACTCTGTCTCATGACTTTGCCCTAACACAGACCAAGTAATTACTACTCTTACATTTTTACCTTGTAACTACATTTTCCCTGACTTTTTAATGTAATTTCAACAGTGCCCTATGCTCAAGTTAGGGCACTGTAGGTTTCTGAAGGTGATTTTCTGAGATGAGACATATAATCAAAGTCCTAACTCCTTCTGTTCATAGCACTTATTGGAATACATTGTACACTAATCTTTCTGCACTTAAAAACATCAGAAATTTGAAACATTTATTTTAAACAACAAATGGATATTATTATGAATATTTGGCTTAATTTTCCAGGAGTGAACTTCTACTAAAAAATCGGATTTTAATCTAAGAATAAATGGGCACAAAAAAGCCTAAATAATTCAATTATAATTAACAAGTTTCTTGGTTGTTTTTATATATATCTAATTGATTTTGTAGAAAAAAAAGAGGAAAGAAGAAAGAAAAAGAAAGAAAGAAAAAAGATCAATAAATAAAGAAAACCTCAGTATAAAATAAAACATTTTTCATTATCAATTATGGTATATGTTTCATACAATTCTAGGTGTAGTAAATTGTTCAAGTTTACTGAAAAATGTGTGCATGAAGAACTGTGGTAATGAAATTGAAGGTCGAACAGTTCATATACTACAAGGGAACAATCTGGTCCCAAACCTTATTATTCAGCATGGCCAGCCACATATATGGCCAACTGGCTTTGGCAGTGGGATAGGAACTTCATGAAAAAATCTATTGTTTACTCCCAAATTAGCTGCTCCTGCAACTCAAAGATTACTATCTCTTTGTGTACCTTAGGTACCTTAGGTTTCCAGAGCTTACAGGGATGATCTCTTGGGTGGTAAACATCTCCTAGGTCATTTTGGTTCATGAAGGAACACACACACACACACACACACACACACACACACACACACACACACACACACACAGAGATTAGAATTCAATTTTAGATCCACTAAAACTCTATTTGTTATTATTGTAAATTAGTGTTATTATTGTAAACTTTTCTTTAATTTCCAGATTCTCTGAAAATTCCATTTGAAACACTGAAAAAACACCATCTATTTTCTTTTGGAAAATGGTAAGTGGAATTGATCACCCAGCCTAAAATAGATTGTGCAGAGGTATATATTTGCTTTAATTTATGGCAATGTGTATATTTCAGCTTAATGAATATTTTACTCTTGGGAACAGTTAGAGAATGGATTGCAGTGCTTTGATGCAGAGGAGCAAAGGGGATCATGTTTTGTTCTGATTGATTTCCCTGTTTAATCTCAGACAGTCTCAGGATGTTGTGAAGCCGTAGTTTAATATTCTATAAAAATGAAATATATTTTATGGAAACTAAAACAAGAAAACTTACTTTCATTGGATTATGGAACGTTTGGTGTATTAAACATTTGCCGAGCAACGCAAAGGGAAACCAATTCAATTGTCTGGCCAAAACTTTGTCTCACCAGGCATCTTTTCATATTATGAATTTTTATCATTTTTTGAGAATTTAAAAGAATCGTGACTGA
Source organism: Homo sapiens (assembly GCF_000001405.40). Taxonomy (NCBI): domain Eukaryota; kingdom Metazoa; phylum Chordata; class Mammalia; order Primates; family Hominidae; genus Homo; species Homo sapiens. Next base: position 93,525,153 of record NC_000006.12, read on the forward strand.
CAACTTAAAACCTAAATATGCTGCCAAGGCAGCACCAGGGCAGCAATGGTGCAGAAGAGAGGGAAGGAGATTGAGTGACTGTCAATGATCATAATTGTGTGCATAGCAGCAATAGCTCTGTACACAGCACAGTCTAAATGAAATGTCTTTCTCCCTGGGTCTTATAGTCTGACGTGATCATACTGACAACCAAAAAAGGGCTGCCTTATTTTCTTTTTCTTTGAAAAAGGAGTTTCTCTTTATTTTCCTTTGTCAGTCACTTGTTAGTGGAATCTAACTAAAGAAAATGCATGAAAAATATCTGAACAATTGGCATCCAAATTAAGCTAAGTAAACTTTGACTTTTGATATTAGCATTACTGTCTTTTTGCTACACAAAATTAATGTAGTCCATCTGAGAACATTTAAACGAGCACAATATAAAATTTAAAATTATGTATAATAACCACACTATCCAGAGATAACCTCTGTTGAATTTTTATTTATATCTTTCTATTTATCAATCATACATCTAAATTTAATAATTTTAGGCACAGTTGGGACTGTAGTCTGTTTATTTGGTTAAATTGTCATTTGTTAATTCAATATAGCTCTGTAAATTTCCTGTTGTTTTAAAGATTCTTCTCTATGATCACATTCATTTTTTTGGCAACTAAATTTTAGGGATGTGCCAGAGTTTATTTGTAAATCAAACTTCTAAAAGAAAACCACTTTACTTATCAGAGTTCAAAATAACAATGTTTGAAATTGTAAACATTTGTGTGATTAAGTAGAGAGATAACTTACTCATTTCTTTTTTTGTCATATTTGCTCAAATCACTTAGACTTCCTGTTTTTTGTATTCCATAAAGTTACACTTTACTGTGTGGTTTCATAGCCCTCATTTCAAAAGGAATCAGATATATGTTCTTTTTTCATCCACAGGTGACTCTCTCTACAATAGCCTTTTAAAATTTGTTTCCTGTTAATTTTATCAGAGTATCATTTGAGATAAAAATTATAATAAATATATTTAGAAATAATATGCTTTAATATTTAATGACTGATGGTAGCTAAAGAAAATTTCTTAGTGTTGTGGTGTTCCTATTACTTATTAAAGTGATACATTATTTTTGTGAAAAGACTGCTTGGTATTGTGAAAGCATTCATTTTACATCAATATAGAGGAAACTTCAAATCATCCCACTGTGTGTGTGGTGTGATCTTGGACAAATTATTTAACTTCATTAAGACTATTTCCTTATCTAAAATAAATAAGTCTATTTTATAGGTTTTTAAAGGGAAATAGATAAGCTTATTTTGCGTGATTTTAGCATGATTTTTAGGAAGCTTACTGAAACTTTTTTTTGTATATCTATATATAAATTTTCCCAAGTATATGGTGGGAACTGTTAAAGAAAGATTAAAATGGAAACCACGATTTACATATAGCCCAAGGCTAGCCACTCATATCCACGTAGCCAAAACTTAAGTTGTCCTGATTTTCCCCAAACTTTTGCTCTAATGATAAATAAAAGACACCATGTAAGCTTTACATCCTCATTGGCATGATTCAATGAAATCTTAAAAAATCATCTATAGACAAAATTAGCTTAAACAGCTCTGTTTTTCTTATGAAGAATGTTAATGTACAATAGCCAATAATGAATAAGGTCAAAATACATCCTCTTCTATGCTTTATCAGCTGTGCTGTAACTGCTGTAAGTGAGACTTCTTTCCACTCTTGGTTTGTGATCTCTGGGTTTGTGAACTGTTTTTTTGAATGCACAATTAGTTTATATATTTTTTTCTAACTTGATGTGATTTTATTTTTGACAGTACTCAATGAATTACAGATACTAACATAATTAGTATTAGTATCTATAATACTTCAGATACTAACATAATTAGTATCCATTTTTGTTAATTCTGTTCATGATAAGTATGTTTCAGTAGCTCAGTTTCTTTCTTACCTTTCTCTTTTTTCTTTCTCTTATTCTTTCTCTGTTCCATTTTATTTCCCAATAACTATAGGAGTAGGTCATAAGTCTTTAACACAAAGCTACTCAAAAGCCCTATAGAAGTGATCCAAGCATTATTCAGATTTTTCATTTCCATATAGGACATTCTTTTTTTTTTTTTTTTCCTGAAGCCTATACCTGGTTACTTACCTAATAACATTTATCACAGCCTTATTTCCAAGCTCCTGGATTACTACCCTTAAATGTGAATTGTGCAAATAGTTATATTTCTTTGATGTATTTTCTTTGTTGTTAATGAGCATGTAACACACTCAAGTGGCATTTTTAAGTGATGTTATAAAAATGTAACATTCTGCCACTTACCCAAAAAAGATATTTTATGTAACTGATAAGCACATTTTTTCTTTTGGTTTGACAAGTATACCAAATATTTCACTTTAAATATTTTCTCTTGGCTAAATGTCTGTCAAATGTGCCTAAATAACTGTACCTAAAGATTCTTATTTACAGAAATAGGCAGACTTTTTTCCAGGTTGCTAGAGGAGAGCAGAAAGAGGAAGCCAACGAGGGTAAAACATAGCGTTTAACATGGAAAATGTAGAAGTGCATTAAAGAGAGGGAGTGGGAAAGCTATGTGAAATAAAGCTCTGCCAGAGTGGAAGAGTAGAAAGGTCACTCAGCTTAAAACTGGAAAACCTGAGTTCAATTCCCATAACTGCTACTTACTCATGGTATTATAGAAGTCACTTAACCTTGCTTAGCCTTTGTGGTATTGTAAAAGTCACTTAACCTTTTAACCTTAGTTTCCTCATTTATAGATTAAAGATAAATAATATCTATTTTGGATAACTGTTATGAGAATTAACTAAGGTAAAGTACATTTAAGTCATTTGCTTACTGGCACTACTTTTTTTAAAAAAATAAGCATTTCTTTTTTAAATAGTGAAGGCAACCAGATGCCTTGGAAATAGACATAGCATTAAGATGTGCACAGAAATCAAATGTAATATAGAATTTAAAATTAGATCTTCATAGATAATCCATCTTAAAGGCAACAAGGTGCTCCAATTAGCTTTATAATGGAGGTAGAGGCATGAAGAAGAAAAAGAGACTATTTAATGGGGATATTAGACAGTTTTCCTCATGTCATATTTTTAAATCCTTAGAAAAACTTCAAAGTAGGTTTTACTATCCCCATTTCACAGAGGATTAAATAGATGCAAAATAGGTTTTCTAAATAACTTGTTCAATATCACACATCAAGTGGAGAGAGGAAGCTGAGAATCAATCAAACCCAGACCATCATGCCCAAAACACATTCTTCCTGTCATATTACCACTCCTATACAACTAGAAAAAGTCACGCAGATGTATAATGGCAAATTTTAAATTATTTTATTGAATCTTCTATTACCTAAAAAGATAAATAGGGGGTGAAACCTTCTTATTTGTTACAATATAACCTTATAACCTCTATTTGGTTCAATTCCTAGGAGAATAGGTTCTCCTTAACACAGAAATTCAAATACTAACACTTTTGATATGCTGTTTTCATGAAAATATGTGGGAACCAATAACAAGTATACCATAGATGTTTCAAAAACAGTATTCATATTTTCTAATAAAGAGGATACTCTCTCAAGAAAATTACCAATATGGCAAATATTTGAAGATGATGATAAAATAAAATCATCCCTTGTGATATGGCCAAATCACCTAAAATATCTGTTTACCAAATGGTAGCCCATATCTTCATGCTTATTTGCAATCAGACTCTTGAAAAACATCACAATGAGGAACCCAGGAGAGATGAATATACAGACAAACGGGAAAGACAAGATCATATACTAGATTGAATATGAAAACTTGCATCAATATCTCCGTAAGAGTATGACCTCACTTGACTTCTCCCAGTTCAAATTATATAGGATTCCTTTAACTTAAAGTAACTGAAACTTTAAAAAAATATATAAGAAAAGCTAAGTCACAGTCTGGGTTCAACTTATAAGCATAAAACTTTCTATTTGTCTTAAGTTATTGAAGCCAAGAATTCTAAAGGAATCACTGAACTAAATGGGTAGACCACTGCTGCATTATAATTTCTCCAGCTGCTGGAGGCTTAACTATGTGGTGCCATGTCTGAGAATGTGAAATGGACATATGATATGAAAGCATTATGATGTGTGATGACTTTGCATGTGCTGTGTGATAAAGCTTAGCAGACTCCTCTTTCCATTTGGCTTTTCAGATTTGCACACATTGTCAGGAAAGATTGCCAAAAAGCTTTCTTCCTTATTCTCTATTTTTAATGTATTTCTGCTAAGAGGTGAATCTTTATATGCTCTACTCTAATGCAAAGATCATGATTTTAGTACCTTTCCTAGGATTTGCAGGAAACATATGGAGAGCAGATTATTCAGGTTGTAAAAATTACCACTTCAGATTTGGTTCACTTGACTTGTCATCCTTCCTGTCATCCAGTATTCTCTTTTCACCTACCATGTAAACATCACTTGGCACAAGGTTTCTTTTTTTAAGTTGATGAGATTTCATGGGCTCTTTGTGTGTAGGTGTGCACAAACATGCTGCAAAATGTGCATGTTTGTTTTGACATGAAAGAAAAAGAATAATTTGTCCTTTATGCTTTATTTAGTAGATAAATGTAAAATCAACCTTCGTTTACTTTTAACTGAATCCCAAGTATATTCAAAATGAAAAGATTGAATGGAGAATTAAGCAGAGACAAAACTGACATGATCACTGACACTGATGAGCATGAATCTACCAGCCAAGAAAACATAGATGAATGAAGACATTAAGTATAAGGTAGAAAGGAAATGTCAAAAGGAAAACACAAATTTTCTGGAAAATTAAAGGATGGAAAGAAGTTCTAGCTTGGGAACCTAGAATATTTACTTGAAGAGGAAAACATTAAATAAAGTATAAAGTATAAAGATGCATCCAAGGCAATCTGGAGTCTGAGAAGTATAAAATGGTGATCTTGGTATAAGAAAATTGTAATTACACACATAGAGGCAGGAAAGCACTGAAAAGTTTTATTGAGTTGCAATTGTAAAGTACGGATATATGAAGCTTAGCTGTAGGGAGAGGGGTTGGAAAGCTTATTTAGAGTATGTTGCTTCAAATCATTTGCTTAGGAGATAATTTATTTATCAGTCAATGGAAATCACCAAGATTTCAGCAAAAATAAATGAGGAGTATGATTTAGGAAAGGTATTTTTGTAATAATTTAAAATATAGATCAGAGATAGTGAAGTTAGGTTGCAAACACCAATTAATAGGCTACGCCAATTAATCCAGAAAAAAACAATAAAAGCAGAAATGTGTGCGGTTGTGGAAGAATATAAAACAGAATTACAACAAAAGTATTGCAGGGAAAATCTGCACAACAAAATATGCTGAATGCAAATACAGTTGGAAAGGGATAGAATTTTTTTTTAAAATGACACATGCTTAAAACTTGGAGGGATAGAGGATCTGGATAGCTAATAGGCAGCCAGTAGTTTAGATCAAATCAGTTTACCTCATAGATTATATTCCCTCTTTAGGATAAGGCAGGAATTGGTAAATGTATTTTTTAATACAAGAAACATCATTATTTTACTGAGAGGAAGGAACAAGTAGAGACAGAGAGAGAGAATTTGAAATACAATATATAGAAAGAAGATTGATAACATAAGGGGATCTGGATTCTCTAGATGATGACTGTGCAAATCACAAAAGGTTGGTTAGCTTTGGAAAAGAGGAGGAATATTTTTCTCAGTCAGCAGAGAAAGCAGGGCAAAAATATACAGATGTTTTCAGATGATGTTTTCACATGGGTTAGAATAAATTTGAGGGACATAGAGTTAAATAGTCAACATCAGAATAAAGTCCAAGGTGAGATGATTTTCTAATTGTGAGGCAGCTCTGATTGTGGCTGGAAACAGAAGAGTGCAGGTAGAATGTAGAAGACGCATTGGGGAGTGTGCAAGACTCTGCAGCATCACACATGAGAGCTAACAGCTGCATATCCTTCATGAAGAAGTTCACACCAGCTGTGAGAAATTGGTCTCACTCAATCTGTCTATATCAACAATTTCACTACAGCTCAGCTAGAATTTGAATGCCGACTACACTAAATAAGTTGTAACAGGTTCGAAAAATTTGTGTTTCCCTATTCTCTAGGAGTGATTTTTCTTTCATTTTAATCTTTAATTTAAAAAAAATTTGTTTAGATACACAAGTTCCTTCAAATTCCCTTTCAGGAATAGGTAATATAAACATATATACTTCTGTCAGTTTAATTAAGATTTTTAATCCTATACTCTTTTGATCAAGTGTTCTCAATCCAAAAATTTTCCTTTCCAATTTTGAGACAATCAGCAACATTACTTATCCTGAGTTTTCTTGAAGAGTATATAGATGTAAAGCTGATTTGCCATTTGTGGGGTTTTTTTGTAATTAATAACATATACCTTTATTTGTACAGTGCTTTCAGTTTACAGAGGGTTATCACATATATCTGATTACAGTCTCACAACAACAATAAAGGTATTGCTTTATTCCTACTTCACTTTCGACAAAACTGGGTTTTAGCGAGGATAGGTAACTTCCTCAGGGACCAAGTTGACTTCATCTGGTAAGTGGATCAACTTAAACACTGATCTTTGAACTCCCTCTTCTGTGTTATGTCCATTCAATTAAGTTGAGGTTTGGGAATCTATATGTAATTATCAGTCATTATTAGACTTTATTTTACTTTTGATTTGCTTAGCAGATTATTAAGCTATTATTTGGTGCAATTTGCTGGTTTATGTCAGAATTCAACTACTTAAATGAAAGGAATATCATTATGCTCTTAAGGAAATGGTATTTTATTTAGGAAATAATAATACCTCTATAGTCAATATTGTCAGTGTAGTGTACTTCTATACTACAGATTCTTTATTTCCCATTATGTATTTATTCTCTCTAAATTATTCATTTCCTGTATCAAAAGACCATGCTACGCTTAGATGGAAGAGAAGGCTGGTCTCAGAGACATTAGATGACAAAATTATTTTCTTTATTCAACAAAAATCATTAAACAAGTTATTCGACCCTATATAGGGGAAAATATAGCAAATATCTATTAACATGATTCTGTTAAATTGAAAACATTTATAAATAAAAATCATTTCTCATATTTGACTTAATATATGTTATTTGACCCCAAAATATACTTTCCGTCTGTCTTTATGTATCAGTGCTAAAACCATGCGTTGGCAAAAAAGAGACAATTATCTAGCACACGAAAAAATTTAGCGAAGTTGTACATTTGGTACACAAGATATTTGCTTTTAGATTTCTTTAAAGTAAGAATTATGAAGTTTAAAAAATTCACTGAGAAACAGTTACTTTTCTTTTCCCACATTCCCATGAAGCCCTATTGGTGCTTTTTATTATTTTGGGAACAAAGCAAGAATAAATAAGTCACTACCTTCCAGAAAATTGATGTTAACCACTTAGTAGCCACTGAAGTAAGCATTTAACTTCAGTTAAATTTCATTATAGTGTGTTCAATTTTTCTCATTCACTATTGCTTAACTTTCAGGACACTTAGTTTAGAGTAATGAAGACAAAAAAGGACATCCAAAATGATATTGACTGCTTAATGTTCCCAAATTTGAAGGGAAAGGCACATTCTCTCTTGAGCCAAAAATTGATTCGCTTTTCATGGATTCTACTTTGAGTGCACTAGAGAAGAGGGAAATTTGCACGTCCTATACATTGCATAAACCCAACCTTCTTAGTACATTTTGGTTTGAATCTATGAAGTTTATTTTAACAATACCCAGGTCACACACAAGGTATGATTTAGAAATAAATTAACTTTAATTCCTAAGGTTTATGTAATCTTTTATATCTTATGACATCCAGATCTTGTTTTATGTTCCTTTAGCATTATTCAAGATGTTCTACAGCAATTGATCCTGACCAAAAAATATTTATAGTAAATGGCCTTAAGCCAATAATATGCCTTTTGCTTAATAAAATTGCTTTCTGAATAGTTTAAAAGGTGCTTGTATTTAATGGCAAATATAACACCGGCTGCTCTTTTCTGTGCCAAGTTGCTGTCTAGTTCAAGGTGTTAAATAGCATAATGAGTTTGGTCTCCTCTAATACAGAAAATAAAGACCCAGGAGAACTTCCACTGAGAGGGAGTTTTAGAATGTGAGATGACAGGTCGTTGTGAATATGACTTTTCCAAAAGAGGAGAGTTTCTAACTTTTCAAGGCCATGTTCATTCTCCTAATTCATTAGGTGGTCGAAAAGCTCTGTCAGGCAGAATTGTCAATAGGCTAAGATGTATTTCAAACACGACGTCCAAAGATGTTAATCTTTCTTTTCGGATTCTGCCTGTGTGAACAGTGCTTTACTCAGGGAGATTTAGTAAAATAGCTCTTTTACTCTCACAAAATCAATTCTGTGTAAAAGGTATGAATGAAATCTTTCAGAAATTCTAAATTGTAGTTTAGTTTATATGAAATAGGTATATTTTAGTCATTGTGAATTCCTTTTATTATTTCTTAAGGGGAGGTGGTGATTATATGGAATCTGACTGAAGACTCAAAAATAATTTCCATGGACTTACATGCATAGCAACATTAAAATAAAAATTATCTTTAGTTTTGGTTTTGAAAGTTAATTATTAACTCTGTTAAGGGAATTACTAGTCTAGAGCAAATCTCATAGAGAGAAAAAAAGCTATTTACTATTTTAAAATAATTCTTGTACCTTTTAGATATGCATTAACCTGTTGGAATTTACTTTTGTATATACATAATAACTAAGCTTACTAATTTTATTTTTTTTAATTTTTTAAAATTTTACTTTCATTTCCAGGATACATGTGCAGAATGTGCAGGTTTGTTACATAGGTATACATGTGCCATGGTGGTTTGCTGCACCTATCAACCCGTCATCTGGGTTTTAAGCCCCGCATGCATTAGGTATTTTTCCTAATGCTCTCCCTCCCTTTGCTCCCCATCACCTGACAGGCTCCAGTGTGTGATGTTCCCCTTCTTGTGCCCATGTGTTCTCATTGTTCAATTCCCACTTATAAGTGAGAACATGTGGTGTTTGATTTTCTGTTCATGTGTTAGTTTGCTGAGAATGATGGCTTCCAGCTTCATCCATGTCCCTGCAACAACTTAAAAGGGAAGTGAAGGACCTCTTCAAGGATAACTACAAATCACTGCTCAAGGAAATAAGAGAGGACACAAACAAATGGAAAAACATTCCATGCTCATGGGTAGGAGGAATCAATGTCATGAAAATGGTCGTACTGCCCAAAGTAATTCACAGATTCAATGCTATTTATATCAAGCTACCATTGACTTTCTTCACAGAATTAGAAAAAACTGCTTTACATTTCATATGGAACCAAAAAAAGAGCCCATATAGCCAAGCAAAAAGAACTAAGCTACCTGACTTCACATTATACTACAAGGCTACAGTAATCAAAACAACATGGTACTGGTACCAAAACAAATATATAGACCAATGGAACAGAACAGAGACCTCAGAAATAACACCACACATCTACAACCATCTGATCTTCGACAAACTTTACAAAAACAAGAAATGGGGAAGGGATTCCCTACTTAATAAATGATGCTGGAAAAACTGGCTAGCCATATGCAGAAAACTAAAACCGGACCCTTTCTTTAAATCTTATACAAAAATTAATTCAAGATGTTTTAAAGTTTACTAATTTTCTACATGAAAAGTGAACTTAGATCAAGAAGTGAGACTTATTGCAGGAAATTTCTAAAAATAAATCTGTTTGGCAAACCATAAGAATGACGCGTAAAGACTTTTATTGCTGTGTACATCAGACTACATTGTAGAATACATTGACAACATTTAAAAATAGTTGTTTCTGAAGATAATTTAGAAGATTCAATATTATTCCTAAAACTAATTTATAATAAAATATATTTGGCTAAAGATGAGTTATACAAAGCTAAGCAAGTCTTTGACTTTTTACTGCACGAATTTTCAGCCTTTTACAAAACTTTTAAAATTTTTAATTAATTTATTTTAAATTATACTTTGAGTTCTGGGATACAAGTGCAGAAAGCGTAGGTTTGTTACGTAGGTATGCATGTGCCATGGTGGTTTGCTGCACCTATCAACCTTTCGTCTAGGTTTTAAGCCCTTCATGCATTAGCTATTTGTCCTAATACTCTCCCTTCCCTTAGCTCCCACCTTCTGACTGGCCTCAGTGTGTGTTGTTCACTTCCCTGTGCCCATGTGTTCTTATTGTTCAACTCCCAGTTATGAGTGAGAACATACAGTGTTTTGTTTTCTTTTTCTGTGTTAGTTTGCTGAGTATGATGTCTTCCAGCTTCATCCATGTCCCTGCAAAGGACATGACCTCATTCATTTTTATGGCTGCATAGTATTCCATGGTGTGTATGTACCACATTTCTTTATCCAGTCTATCATTGATGGGCATTTGGATTCGTTCCATGTCTTTGCTATTGTAAATAGTGTTGCAATAAACATATGAGTGCAGGTGTCTTTACAGTAGAATGATTTATTTTCCTTTGGATATATACCCAGTAATGAGATTGCTGGGTCAAATGTTATTTCTGGTTCTAGAGGAATAGCCACACTTTCTTCCACAATGGTTGAACTAATTTACATTCCCACCAACAGGGTAAAGGCATTCCTATTTCTCCACAGCCTCACCAGCATCTATTGTTTCTTGACGATCTAATAATTGCCATTCTGACTGCTGTGAGGTGGTGTCTCATTGTGGTTTTGATTTGCATTTCCTTTTTTAAAACTTTTATGTTCAGGGGTACATGTGGATGTTTGTTACATAGGTAAATTTGTGTCATGGAGGTTTATTGTAAAGATTATTTCATCACCCAGGTAGTGAGCCTAGTACTCATTAATTATTTTTCCTGATCCTCTCCCTCTTCCCACCTTCCACCCTCTGAAAGGTCCCAGTGTGTGTTATTCCCCTCTATGTGTCCATATGTTCTCATCATTTAGCTTCCACTTATAAGTGAAAACATGCAGTGTTTGGTTTCTGTTTCTGCATTAGTTTGCTAAGGATAATGGCCTCCCATTCCAACCATGTCCCTGCAAAGAACATCATGTTGACCTTTTTATAAAACTCATTGTGATTATCCAAACAATGTCTGTAAACTTAAAATGCATTTCTTAGATTGTTTTATCAAAGAAGGCTTAATTTGCAGAGCATGTCTTGAAATACTCTCTTGAAAGCATAGACCTAATTTATAATTTCCTCACCGAAGAAACCACTGTTTCCTTTTGCCTAGAGAGTACATTTCAAACTCTAGCACTTCTTAAATTTTCTGTTGAAATTGGCCTCAATCTATTTTAATTTTGCACTTACAGGCATCCCATTCTATCTTTCTTTCCACTAGAAGAAAACAAATGATTTTTATTTTCTGAAAAATTCAGGCACTTACACTTCTTGTTTATTAAGTAATCAACTTTTGTATTTTTAGTGAAGAAATGGTTGTATGTGGGAAACAATATAACATTTCCCTGGTGGTACATGGTCTGAGACTACCATCTCAATGATTAGCTAAGGCTCTTTTTTTGAGGTTTGCAACAGATATGCCTATATAAAAATCTTTGTGACAATAAATGATATTATAGCAAAATTCAAGTCTTTATGTGTGCCTATAACAGATATATTCTACTGATTTAATTAAAATACACTGAAATTGAATTTAAAAACCTTGTATCTTTCCTTCGCTTGATGAATTCCACAGAATAAGTACCAGAACAAAATTACTAGGATCTTCATGTCAAATTTTCATGAAAATAAAATAAATGTATTAATTTTTTAAATGTGTAAATATATATTAAGTGTCTCTGAAGAAATTCTGTATCTATAATTAAGCATAAAGAAGTAAATGCAAGTTTCTAAATAACCAATAGCTTTGTTTATTAAACCTCTACTAATTTGTGATCATTTTTTCAGAAACTATTTCATTATATTTATGAATAAAGAGTTTAGCATATAAATGATTAAATAAATCTATCTAGTTACTTACCAGTAAGTCTTATACAATTCTTGAAAATACATTGCAGTTTAATTTAAGTTATACAATTTGAGCTAAGTTCAAAGTTATTAAACGTTTACACTTGTCTCTATGAAAAGAAAATAACTTTAAAAACTAGTTTTAGTTAACTTTATTATCTATTGTAAATGTCTACTGTCTAATTATAATGTTAAAGGATTTCTCATTTCTTCTTGTTAGTTACCAATTTAGATTCCCTTTCTTTTAAAAAATTGATATATTCATGTTTTTCTTATATATTTATAACACTTATGTTTTGAACCCTGAAATATCCTGTATGTTGCAAATATTTTCCTAGTATGTCTCTTACTTTTTAACTTTATTTATAGGGCTATGATAAGATGGAAGTTTACATTTTTAACCTGAGCTGTAATTGATTTATGCCTATTCCTCCCAAACTTCAGGATCACTTTTCTGCCATTTCTGTTTTTATTTATTTATGTGTTCACGTCTAGATGTTTAATTTACCAATAATAAATCTCATCAATTGAATCCTTGATAAATGAAGAATTTTATTATTTGCATCCTCTTCCACTTCCATCTCTTACTCCAATTAGTTTTGTATACAGTCTTTATTTTCTCTGTTGCTTATTATTTGATCTTTAAAACCTCTCCTTAAACCTATGGATAGTAAATACTTGATTCCCTCCTACTGTAATTAGTAAATAAACAAGAACTCTGTCATCTCATTATCCTTCTTCACTTAGTTCCATATTTTGCATATTATTAAATATTTCTTGCTTTATCTAGAAGTTGGTTCTAAAATTGAAATTATTCTTTGATTAAGAACATATTTTTATGTGATTAGGATTACACAGTACAATTCGTTACAGAACCATATATTTTTCTACAAACACTCTTCCTCTTCTTTGCTTTAAATGTTACAACCCTGGTGCACGCAAAGGATTCTTCATTGTTAAAGCCTGACAGGTGCCTAAAATTATACTTTTTGCTTTCTTTTGCATTTGCATCAGGCTTTTCTTGAATCGTATGTTTCTCTTGGAGTTGCTAATTGCCTTTCTTTTGTTTTTCTGGGAAAAATTAAACTGTTTTCTTCTCTACAACTATAATAATATTCATGTTTATAACTATCTGATTCTATTTTATTTTACAATACCTACTTCATTCTATTTTTCTTCTTGAAACCCAAAGCCTGTCTGCTTTTTCTTGGACTGGCTTCCCTAAAATTAATCTCTGGCTTTCAATTACAGTTTTTTAAATTAATTACAATTAATTTAAATTAATTACAATTTTTTTAAATTTTTTTCTGAAGTTTCTGATTACCTGTTTCTCCTCTCCAGTATTTTGTGCCATTTTTACACCTTGTTTCTCCTAATGTATCTATCATAATAACTATCTTGTGGGACTTCTTCCTCTCAAAGTCTGATCTTTTGGCATACACTGGTGATCTAAAGGATTCAATCAACTTAATCTTGGATCTTGTAACTGCGTCATGTTTGTTGTATTCCTTTGTTTGTTTGAATATATCCTCAGTACCTTCGGAAGAAAGGTGCCAGAATGGAATAGACTTTTCATAAATAAAATGCCTTTGTTCTGCCTTCGCATGACAATGTTTGACTAAATACTTCATTTCTAAAAGTGTATTTTCTCAGCACACAATGTTTTAAATTTTGATGTACTTAGATAAACTTAGTTCCTTTATAATTCCTTCCTCTGCTCTCATATTTAGTAAATACTTCATTTCCCCCAAACAGATAAAAAAAAGTCACCTCAATTTTCCAATATTTCATTTTCAGATATAATTTCTTACCCCAAAATGCGGTACATAGTGTAAGATTAGAACCAAAGCCTTATGACTGATTGGGGTATCTGAAAGAGACAAGGAGAATGGGACCAAATTGGAAAACATACTTCAGGATATCACCTAGGAAAACTTTCCAACCTAGCAAGACAGGCTAACATTCAAATTTGGGAAATCCAGAGAACCTCAGTAAAATACTCTCAGAGAAGATCAACCCCAAGACAAATAATCTTCAGATCTCCAAGGTTGAAATGAAGGAAAAAAAATTTAAGGGGAGCCAGAGAGTAAGGCCAGGACACCTACAAAGGGAAGCCCATCAGAATAACAGCAGACCTGTCAACAGAAACTATACAAGCCCAAAGAGATTGGGGGCCAATACTCAGTATTCTTAGAGAAAAGAATTTCCAAGCCAGAATCTCATATCTGGCCAAACTAAGCTTCATAAGTGAGGGAGAAACAAAAGACTTTTCAGACAATAAAACCTGAGGGAATTAGTCACCACTGGGCCTGTCTTGCAAAAGCTCCTGAAGGAAGCACAAGAAATGGAAAGGAAAAACAGTTACCAGCCACTACAAAAACACACTGAACTACACTAACAATGACACTGTGAAGCAACTACATCAACATATCTGCAAAATAACCAGCTAACATCATGATGACAGGATCAAATTCGCACATAATAATATCAACTTTAAATGTAAATGGGCTAAATGCCCCAATTAAAAGACACAGAATGGAAAGCCGAATAAAGGGTCAAGACCTATTGGTGTGCTCTATTTAAGAGATCCATCTGTTGTGCAAAAACACATATAGGCTCAAAATAAAGGGATGGAGGAAAATCTACCAAGCAAGTAGAAAGCAGAAAAAATCAGGGGTTGCAATCCTAGTTTCTGACAAAACAGACTTTAAACTAACAAACATCAAAAAAGACAAAGAAGATCATTACCTAATGGTAAAGAGTTCAATTCAAAAAGAAGAGCTAACAATAAAAGACAACTTCATACAAATATCCCTGATGAACATTGATGTAAAAATCCTCAATAAAATACTAGCAAACCAAATCTATCAGCACATCAAAAACCTTGTCCACCACAATCAAGTAGGCTTCATCTCCAGGATGCAAGGCTGGTTCAAGATACACAAATCAATAGATATAATTCATCACATAAACAGAAATAAAGACAAAAACCACATTATTATCTCAATAGACACAGCACAAACCTTCAATGTAATTCAACATCCCTTCATGTTAAAAACTCTCAATAAACTAAGTATTGATGGAACATACCTCAATAATAAGAGGCATTTATGATAAATCCACAGCCAATATCATACTGAATGGGCAAAAGCTGGAAGCATTCCCCTTGAAAACTGGCAAAAGACAAGGATGCCCTCTCTCACCACTTCTATTCAACATAGTATTGGAAGCTCTGGTAAAGGCAATTAGGCAACAGAAAGAAATAAAGAGTATTCAGATAAGAAGAGAGGAAGTCAAACTCTCTCTGTTGTCAGATGGCATGATCCTACATCTAGAAAACCCCATCATCTCAGCCCAAAAGCTTCTTTAGCTGGTAAGCAACTTCAATAAAGTCTCAGGATACAAAATCAGTGTGCAAAAATCAAAAGCATTCCTATACACCAACAACAGAGAAGCAGAGTGCCAAATCATGAATGAACTCCCAGTCACAATTGTTACAAAGACAATAAAATACCCAGGAATACAGCTAACAAGGGAAGTGAAAAGTCTCTTCAAGGATTACTACAAACCACTGCTCAAGGAAATTAGAGAGGACACAAACAAATGGAAAAGCATTCCACGTTTATGGATAGGAAGAATCAATATCATGAAAATGGCCATATTGCCCAAAGTAATATATAGATTCAATGGTATTCCCATCAAACTACCATTGACATTTTTCACAGAATTAGAAAAAAAACTACTTTAAAATTAATATGGAATCAGAAAAGAGCCCATATAGTCAAGACAATCCTAAGCAAAAAGAACAAAGCTGGAGGCATCACACTACCCAACTTCAAACTATAGTTCAAAGCTACAGTAACCAAAACAGCATGGTCCTGGTTCAAAAACAGACATATAGACCAATGGAACAATGTAGAGAACTCAGAAGTAAGACTGCACATCTACAACCATCTTATCTTTGACAAACATGACAAAAACAAGTAATTATGAAAAAATTCCCTGTTTAATAAATGGTGCTGGGATAACTGGCTGGCCATATGCAGAAAATTAAAACAGGACCCCTTCTTTATAACTTATACAAAAATGAACTCAGGAAAGATTAAAGACTTAAACATAAAACCCAAAACTATAAAAATCCCACAAGAAAATCTAGGCAATAACACTCAGGACATAGGCATGGGCAAAGATTTCAGGATAAAAATTTCAAAAACAATTGCAACATAAGCAAAAATTGACAAATGGAATCTAATTAAACTAAAGGGCTTCTGCACAGCAAAATAAAGTATCAGCAGAGTTGAACAGGCAACCTACAAAATGGGAGACAATTTTTGCAATCTATTCATCTGACAAAGGTCTAACATCTGGAATCTACAGGGAACTTAAACAAATTTTCAAGAAAAAAACAACCCCGTCAAAAAGTGGGCAAAACAGATGAATAGACACTTTTGAAAGAAGACATTTATGTGGCCAACAAACATATGAATAAAAAGGTCAATATCACTGATCATTAGAGAAATGCAAATCAAAACCACAAAGAGATACCATCTTATGCTAATCAGAATGGTGATTATTAAAAAATCCAAGAAACAACAGATGCTGGCAAGGCTGTGGAGAAGTAGGAACACCTTTACACTGTTGGTGGGAATGCAAATTAGTTCAACCATTGTGGAAACCAATGTGGCAATTCCTCAAAGACCTAGAACCAGAAATACCACTCGGCCTAGCAGTCCCATTAATGAGTATATACACAAAAGAATATAAATCATTCTATTATAAAAATACATGCACACATATGTTCATTGGAGCACTGCTCACAATAGCAAAGACATGTAATCAACCCAAATGCCCATCAATGATAGACTGGATAAAGAAAATGTGGTACATATACACCATGGAATACTATGCAGCCATAAAAAGAAACAATATTATGTCCTTTGCAGGCACATGGATGGAACTGGAAGCCATTATCCTCAGCAAACTAATACAGGAACAAAAAAACCAAACACCACTTTTTCTCACTTACAAATGGGAGCTGAACAATGAGAACGCATGGACACAGGTAGGGGAGCAATACACACTGGGCATGTCGGTGAGGGGTGCAGGGAGGGAGAGCATCAGGAAAAGTAGCTAATGCTTGCTGGGCTTAATACCTAGGTGATGGGTTGATAGGTGCAGCAAAACACCATGACATATGCTTACCTGTGTAACAAACCTGCATATCCTGCACATGTATCCCAGAACTTAAAATAAAATGAAAGATATGATCAAAGCTGATTTTTCCTCTAAGGAATACATATTTCTCTATACCATTTGTTGAATAATAAATCCCGTTTCCCATTTATCTGTGATGTATCCTTTAATATATTCTAAATATAATTATCTATATCTAAATAGTAACAATATCAATTCTTGTTGACCTCTATGTTGATTCTTATGCCAGTACCACATTCTATAAATTATCAAAACTTTGTACTATAACTTAATATCTTGAAGACAAACCTTTCATTATCCATTTTATTACTAGTTTTATTTTTTTATAATTAAGGATATTTATGTTTGTCATTATATATAATTCAATACATAAAGGAAGAAAATGAAGATCAAGGCATTACTGAATATGCATGAAATGTTAATACTTTGTGTATAGTTTTGATTTTTTGTATGTACAGAGGCACATTGGAAAATGAACACATTAATCTCTCTGTGTGTCTTACCTGCATAGAATCTTCTCCAAAGATACACCAATATTTCGATAAATGATTCAATACTGATGGACATTTCAATTGTATCTCATTTGTTCTATTGAAAAATAGCAGGGGTATGGATTGCTTTACACATGTGGCTGTCCACTTGTTACATTATTTAACTGAGAGAAATCACACAAGTAGAATTTCAACATATGCTCATTTCATAATTGTGATATATTTTAAGATGTCTACTTATGAATGTATGCAAAAACATTAACAATTTATTTTAAAACTTGATTTTCCCATCATTATGATTATTATTATATCATTATTATTGGAATTTTAAAAGTTGCTCCTGATGGGCAAAATGTTATCTTTATTATAATTTGTGCCTATTTGATGATTATAATTAATGATTATGATTAATTTATTATCAATCATTTATTTTTTAATTACATGTTTACATTGTTTTACTATTTTCCATCAGAAAGTAATTTTTTCATAATGACTTATAGAAGCAGCTTATAGTAGACTGTCAAGCATTGCACACTTGCTTCAATTTGTCATTTGTTAAACATGCTGTCATATTTTTATCACAAGTAGTGTTTATTCTTTAATTTTGTGGAATTTCTCTTTCTGGCTTTTGATCAGAATTAGAAGCAATTTTGAGACTCATAAGATTAGTTTTATTTCCATTTTCATTTTTCCTCTAGAACTTTTAATAATGTCATTTTCATGTTTTATTTAGAAATGAATATGGAATTTATTCAGGTATAAGGAGTACAGGAGTGATTTCACTATTTTTTACAAATGGCTAGTCATCTGTCCTAATGCCGTATTTCCTCTGCTGATTTGAAATATTCTATTTATCATGTTATTTTAAAATTTGGTCTGCTTCTGGACTCAATTCTGTCTCAGCAATTTCCAGTTCTATTTTTCTTCTAGCTTGAAGTTTTAAAAATACATTAGGTTCTTAAAATATTATATCATTACCAATTGGCATGTTTTGTCCCCATTATTAATGTTGAAATTCGGAGATTTAAGCTTAAGTCCTCTGTCCCAGAAGGCATGGTTATTTTGCTTTCTTTTTCTGTTGCTTGTGTTCGCATGTAAAAAATTCTTGGACTCTTTTGGGTGTCCTCGACCTTGTGCATGTTCACAGAGTTTGGGGCCTTCATATTTTTTTTAGGCCGGACTATGCATTCTAGCCCAGCTTTCACAAAGCTTGTGTGGGCTTTATAGAGTATTAGTCCAACTGATAACTTTTTCCATCGATTCTGCTTAATATTTCCAGAGTGCATAGCTACACATGGAACTTCAAACAAGAGAACCAAACTGAGCTAAATTAGAGTTCAACCCTTTCTGCTGGCTCTCCTGGTCAATATCAGAGGTTCCCAGACCACGTTACCACCCATAATCTATTGGCATGTTACACAGGGCTATAAGTAGCACGGCAAACCTCATTTCTGCTTACACATTACTCAGTTACCTTTGTCATTATCAGCTATTTTACTAAATGTTCAAGTACGAATATTTGCTTAATTTTATAAAATGTTTGTAAAATATCTACCCCGATAATCACGTGTTTTAACATGTGTATGGAAGTAATAAAATTTATGGATTTCCTAATGTTGAACCAACCTTCCTATATTGTAGAATGTTATAATCAGTTTATGATCTAGAATCTCTTTAATACACTGTGGTATTTAAGTTATGGTCATATGAAGTATATATAATTATTATACTTAAAATGAAGCACTGTATTAATATTTAAATTATAGGATTTTATATCTGTATTCCTAAGTGAGATATAACAACATTTACAAATATCTATTGAGTGCCTGCTATGTGGTAAGCAGTGTTCAAAACATTGAGGTTTCAGCTGTGCCTTCATGGAGCTAACCCTCCAGTGGTCAGAAACACACAATAAACATGTTTAAAAAGTGAAAGTAAAATCAGTTCACATCATCATATGACAAATAAAATAAAATTGATTGAATTGGTTAGAGAGTGCCTGAGGCAGCATAACCTTAGAGTGTTTAAGGAAGGACTCTGAGGACTTGCAATTTGAGTTAAAACCTGAGTGATGAGAAGGATTCGGCTTTAAAACATTCTAAGAAAGAATGTTTTGGTAGAAGGTGTAAAACATAAGTTGCCAAAATATAGGTTTTAGCTTTCTATGTAATTATTTAGCTTTGCTAATTCTAACATCGTTGTTATTAGGGGGAATTTTATAATTTTCTGTTTTCTGGGATATGTTTCAGTGCAATACATATTATTTACTTGCTGAAGTTGTGATAGCATTTACCAGAAGCATCATAAGAATCTGGCTGCATTTGGTTTGATGTTTCTTTGATAGTTTTCCTATTTCATAGTTGTTGGTTGCTACTGGTTAACTCCCAGGTTTTCTACCTCTTTGGTAATCCATTAAGTAGTTGTTTAAAACAAATATGCATTTTCATTATTTTCGATCTTTTTTCATCGTGTATGGGGTATTTTCTCATGATTTTTTATGTACTGTCAGTGATTACTAACTCTTTTTAATTACTCTGGCCAAGTAATTATTTTTATTTTCTCTGAAAGCATTTCCAAGGTTTTCTCTTTTTGCCATTATTTTCTGCTTGTCATCTTTTTGGAAAGTATCAGATCATGTATTATTAGCTCTTTTTTCTTTTGCTTCTTAATTTGTGTTTCTTTTCTTTTGTACTTTAAGTTCTAGGGTACATATGCACAACATGCAGGTTTGTTACTTATATATACATGTGCCATATTGGTGTGCTGCACCCATTAACTCGTCATTTACATTGGGTATATCTCCTAATGCTTTCCCTCCCCACTCTCCCCACCCAACAACAGGCCCTGGTGTGTGATGTTCCCCTTCTTGTGTCCAGGTGTTCTCATTGTTCAATTCCCACCTATGAGTGAGAACATGCAGTGTTTGTTTTTTTGTCCTTGCGATAGTTTGCTGAGAATGATGGTTTCCAGCTTCATCCATGTCCCTACAAAGGACATGAACTCATCCTTTTTATGGCTGTATAGTATTCCCTGGTGTATATGTGCCACATTTTCTTAATCCAGTCTATCATTGATGGACATTTGGGTAGGTTCCAAATCTTTGCTATTGTGAATAGTGCCGCAATAAACATACTTGTTCATGTGTCTTTATAGCAGCATGATTTATAATCCTTTGGGTGTATACCCAGTAATGGGATGGCTGGGTCAAATGGTATTTCTAGTTCTAGATCCTTGAGGAATTGCCACACTGTCTTCCACAATGGTTGAACTAGTTTACAGTCCCACCAACAGTGTAAAAGTGTTCCTATTTCTCCACATCCTCTCCAGCACCTGTTGTTTCCTGACTTTTTAATGACCGCCATTCTAAGTGGGGTGAGATGGTACCTCATTGTGGTTTTGATTTGCATTTCTCTGATGGCCAGTGATTATGAGCATTTTTTCGTGTGTTTTTTGGCTGCATAAATGTCTTCTTTTGAAAAGTGTCTGTTTATATCCTTCACCCAGTTTTTGATGGGGTTGTTTGTTTTTTTCTTGTAAATTTGTTTGAGTTCTTTGTAGATTCTGGATATCAGCCCTTTGTCAGATGAGTAGATTGCAAAAATTTTCTCCCATTCTGTAGGTTGCCTGTTCACTCTGATGGTAGTTTCTTTTGCTGTGCAGAAGCTCTTTAGTTTATTTATATCTCATTTGTCAATTTTGGCTTTTGTTGCCATTGCTTTTTGTGTTTTAGTCATGAAGTCCTTGCCCGTGCCTATTTCCTGAATGGTATTGCCTAGTTTTTCTTCTACGGTTTTTATGGTTTTAGGTCTAAAATTTAAGTATTTAATCCATCTCGAATTAATTTTTGTATAAGGTGTAAGGAAGGGATCCAGTTTCAGCTTTCTACATATAGCTAGCCAGTTCTCCCAGCACCATTTGTTAAATAGGGAATCCTTTCCTCATTTCTTGTTTTTGTCAGGTTTGTCAAAGATCAGATGGTTGATGTGTGGTATTATTTTGAGGGCTCTGCTCTGTTCCATTGGTCTATATCTCTGTTTTGGTAGCAGTACCATGCTGTTTTGGTTACTGTAGCCTTGTAGTATAGTTTGAAGTCGGGTAGCGTGATGTCTCCAGCTTTTTTCTTTTGGCTTAGGATTGTCTTGGCAATGCGGGCTCTTTTTTTGGTTCCATATGAACTTTAAAGTAGTTTTTCCAATTCCGTGAAGAAAGTCATCGGTAGCTTGATGGGGATGGCATTGAATCTATAAATTACCTTGGGCAGTATGGCCATTTTCATGATATTGATTCTTCCTATCCATGAGCATGGAATGTTCTTCCATTTGCTTGTGTCCTCTTTTATTTCGTTGAGCAGTGGTTTTTAGTTCTCCCTGAAGAGGTCCTTCACATCCCTTGTAAGTGGGATTCCTAGGTATTTTATTCTCTTTGAAGCAATTGTGAATGGGAGTTCACTCATGATTTGGCTCTCTGTTTGTCTGTTATTGGTGTATAAGAATGTGACCACATAGTTGGAAGTAAAGCACTCTTCAGCAAATGCAGAAGAACAGAAATTATAACAAACTGCCTCTCAGACCGCAGTGTAATCAAACTAGAACTCAGGATTAAGAAACTCACTCAAAACCGCTCAGCTGCATGGAAACTGAACAACCTGCTCCTGAATGACTACTGGGTACATAACGAAATGGAGGCAGAAATAAAGATGTTCTTTGAAACCAATGAGAACAAAGACACAACATACCAGAATCTCTGGGACACATTTAAAGCTGTGTGTAGAGAGAAATTTATAGCACTAAATGCCCACAAGAGAAAGCCGGAAAGATCTAAAATTGACACCCTAACATCACAATTAAAAGAACTAGAGAAGCAAGAGCAAACACATTCAAAAGCTAGCAGAAGGCAAGAAATAACTAAGATCAGAGAAGAACTGAAGGAGATAGAGACACAAAAAACCCTTCAAAAAATCAATGAATCCAGGAGCTGGTTTTTTGAAAAGATCAACAAAATTGATAGACCGCTAGCAAGACTAATAAAGAAGAAAAGAGAGAAGAATCAAATAGAAACAATAAAAAATGATAAAGGAGATATCAACCCCGATCCCATGGAAATACAAACTGCCATCAGAGAATACTATAAACACCTCTACGCAAATAAACTAGAAAATCTAGAAGAAATGGATAAATTCCTGGACACATACACTCTCCCAAGACTAAACCAGGAGGAAGTTGAATCTCTGAATAGACCAATAACAGGCTCTGAAATTGAGGCAATAATTAATAGCTTACCAACCAAAAAAAGTCCATGACCAGATGGATTCACAGCCAAATTCTACCAGAGGTACAAGGAGGAGCTGGTACCATTCCTTCTGAAATTATTCCAATCAATAGAAAAAGAGGGAATCCTCCCTAATTCATTTTATGAGGCCAACATCATCCTGATACCAAAGTCTGGCAGAGACGCAAAAAAAAAGAGAATTTTAGACCAATATCCCTGATGAACATTGATGCAAAAATCCTCAATAAAATACTGGCAAACCGAATCCAGCAGCACATCAAAAAGCTTATCCACCATGATCAAGTGGGCTTCATCCCTGGGATGCAAGGGTGGTTCAACATATGCAAATCAGTAAATGTAATGCAGCATATAAACAGAACCAAAGACAAAAACCACATGATTATCTCAATAGATGCAGAAAAGGCCGTTGACAAAATTCAACAACCCTTCATGCTAAAAACTCTCAATAAATTAGGTATTGATGGGATGTATCACAAAATAATAAGAGCTATTTATGACAAACCCACAGCCAATATCATACTGAATGGGCAAAAACTGGAAGCATACCCTTTGAAAACTGGCACAAGACAGGGATGCCCTCTCTCACCGCTCCTATTCAACATAGTGTTGGAAGTTCTGGCCAGGGCAATCAGGCAGGAGAAAGAAATAAAGGATATTCAATTAGGAAAAGAGGAAGTCAAATCGTCCCTGTTTGCAGATGACATGATTGTATATCTAGAAAACCCCATCATCTCAGCCCAAAATCTCCTTAAGCTGATAAGCAACTTCAGTAAAGTCTCAGGATACAAAATCAATGTGCAAAAAACATAAGCATTCTTATACACCAATTTGTGTTTATTATCTTCTCGTACTTCTTTTTTAACATCTGAGATCGACATTTAATAAGTTGTCTTCCTCATCAAAAAAATCTCTTTGACAGCATCTCATGAGTTTTGATATGTAATATACTGCAGTAATGAAAAGTTTTGTCTTCCCCTTGATGCAATGTTATTTAATAAGATGATTAAGTATTTTTAAGTATACATGGTTCTTCTTTTTGCATAAGTTAAAGCTACTCTTTAACTTTTTTTTTGTTTCTAGTTTGTCCTTGTAGTTTGTTGAAATTTCTCCCAAGTACTGGTAATAAGTGGATATTTTAAGGTACATTTTCAAAGTTTATGTTAATTTATATAGTTTATAGCTCAATATAATTATGGCTATAATATAATTATGGCTATATATATTATGGCTATAACATATAATATGGCACTAATATAATTATGGCTGTAAATAAAAGTAGTGTATTTGTTCATCCATTCATTCAACAGATATTTACTGAGCCCCTACCTTGCTTTACTTATTGTCCCTAGAAATGGGGATAAAGCTACAAATAAATGAAAGAAAAGGTGATGACTTTATGTTGAAATATAAATACAATCTATAATGCAGAAGAAATGAAAACAAGTACAGATAACTAGAGAGATAAGAAATCATCATAGTAGTATTCCACAAAGATGGTCGCTTATCAAGTTGATGCATTTATTTTCAGTTTTTCTTAATTCATGCTAAAAATACAGATTTAGAGAAGAGATTTCACTACCCTTTAAAACATAACTAGCCAAAATTTAAAGACAAGCACATTACATTTTAAGAGTCCTAAGGTGGGTCAAATAAGAAATCGAAACTCTTTGAGCCAATGTTTTCAACCTTTTTGAAAACTGGAAATAAGCCAGGCTTTCTTCGTTGCATGCTTTCCATTAGCTGTTACTTAGCAGAAAACATTTCAGATGCCTCTCTTTGCATTGCTGTCTTGATTTTCTTTTTTTCAATTTCAGCAGAGTGGCTCATAAATAAACATGTTCACGGCTCAGGTTGGGAGTGACAGTTTATTCCTACTATTTTGATGGATTGTACAAGATATCTACAGTTCTCTTCTCTAACTAAACATCCATACATGGACTGTAAAATTAATCATACCATGGCAGGATGCCTAAGAATTTGGAACAGCTTCTTTCTTGGTGACTCTAAGTATCAAAGTGAAAATTTCATTTTAGTAATGATAATTAATGAAATCTATTATTTGATGATTTATCCTCCAAATAGTGTATAGACTGCCTTTCTGTGAACCCCAGCTTCACTCATAAACCATGCCACATGTGCTTAGCTGTCTATAGGTTATATTTGATTACAAAGTGAGTGTCTTCCTTTGGTCATTGAATCATTATTGATGCTTTTCATGGAAGCTTGTTGTGATATTTTTCACATATTTGCTGATGGCCTTGAAGTCTGTATACATAGGCAGTGCTGCATCATTAAAGATTGGCACCCAAGTGTGGTAATGCCCTTCTGTGAACCCCAGCTGCTCTGTACCTTGAGAATAAACCTCACCCTAATTACAGGGGAAATGGGAGGTAAAGGGAAGACTGCATGTATATCACTTACCCCAAATACAAGGAGATGTCACACTTGTTCCAATGTTTACTCTCTCTTTTCACCCTTCTTCCAGCTGAGCACTTTCAACTCACTGGGAAGAGGCTGGTTCTTGAGATCTGAAGGTCATGAATTCTGTTGCACTGGCAGGCTTCAAGGATGTGGTTAGCAGATGACTATGTTGCCTGTATTCTTTGTATATATGGTCACAGATCATTAAACATCACTTCCATTAACATCTGCTTCTGTCTTTCAGCAATAATGTATGTGAGCCAGTGGAATCTCTTAAGGAAAGGCATATTTGTACACAGAAGGAATTATTGGTTGTATGTTATGATCACAAGAAAGATGTGATCTAAAAATATGACTAAATGAGTAATTAAAAATAGTAGAACTCTCTTTCTTGAAAACCTGCTAATGCTGCCTTTATAGTATCTGTTTCATTTCTTTCATGTCCTATTGCACACCCTTCACTGACAGACCTGAACTATTGCATAACCTTTAAACTAATCTCCACATTTCCAATGTGGTCTAATGTGTATGTGTCATGTTGCTTTCATTTTAACAATCTGTTCTCATCAAACAAAATCTACCAATGTCCCCCTTATTGGCATAAAGCATTCAAATTCCTTAATCTGATCCAATGTTCTTTATAATATGAGCCAACCTTGCCTTTTAATTATTGTTTTTTACTGGTATGCTACATATACTCTCTTCTTTTTCCAAGTATGTCATACCATGTGAGAGAGTGTTGCATAGGGGATGGAATTTAACAGGCTTGTGGTTTTAATGCTAATCTTACCTTTTCCAGTGAATTTTTAAAAATGATTAAACTGTGAATGTCTTCTTCACTGGGGACAACCACCAGGTTTGCTATATAATAAACCACTGAAGGTAAAGTTCTATCATGGAGCTTGATACAACTGTAGATGCTCTATAAATGAAGCCAGTGGTAATAGTAATAGCAGGGGCGAACTCTCCTAGCTAGTAGTTTCCAACCATTTTCTTTACTCAAGTCCAGTCCTTCAATTATTACATCATTTCTTCTTCCTTTATGAGTTTCTTCATAATTATTACTAAGATACTGAGATGTTTGCCATCCCTAATTCTACAACTTAATTGTCTATGTCATTAATTTGTGTTTTAAACTCCCTTGTTTTTAGACTCCATATAAAAATGTGAAGCTGCTAGAGGGAAACTCCCTTATATCTGTTGCCAGTTTTCTGCAGCAATGGCCACTTCATAATTTAACAGGGTATTTAATGTCAACTTGTTGGTTAATTTATCTACTGATATATCACTGAATAAATGCCGTACACCTAAGGAATATGACTTTGTAACAGTACTAAATGGAACTTAATATTTTTATGTAAATTTTTACTAATATCCTCACGTCAACTTTATTTTTAACAGTAGTAAATGAAATGTACTAATTGGTGACAGCAACTTTAAAATATCCAAGATTTTACTTCTTTCAATTTTAGCTAAATCTGTTCTACCCTACAGATGCATATTGAACTGAATGACACCACCAGATTATCCAGTCAATTTTGTGTCAGGAACATGCTAATCCTCACATAGTTCTGATCATGTTTTATTATTACCCCCATTTTGCAGATAATGATAACATTGGAAATCAAAGGCAATATGGAAAGTACTCAAATGTGGATAGCTACTGTGAAAGATTAGAATACTATTCAGCAAATATTCACTTACCTCCCTGCTTCCCTCTTGGGATGTAGTACATTCTATGCCGCATTTGAATTTGACCACATAATTTTGGCCACAGAAAAATAAGTGGATATTATGTGAGCAAGGCCTGAAAATGGTTTTAAATGTATTATATCGTTTAGGTTGCTTTTGCCTTTCTGCTACTTACCATGATAATAATATCTTTGGTGGCCACTTATCCATGGAGGATAGACCTAACCCTGTCCTGCAGTGAGGAGTTGAGGCCAGCCTGACCACAGCTTGAAGCAGAGCTGCCCAGACAATCACAGCCTATAGAGCCAAACTGCCTTGATCTGTAGACCCATGAACTAAACAAATAAATGTTTGTTGTTATTGGTTTGGGATGGTTTGTTAGGCAGCATTAGCATGGCAACAGCTGAATAATCTACTAATAATTGAATGGGCTAAGATTTGAACTCAAATCTGTAAACATCTGTGTACTTTCCACCACACCACACTTCATTAGCCAAAATGCACAAAGAAGGACTACATTTGGATAGTTATTCACAAACCACAGCTCATATGATTCTATATTGATCAAAATAACAGTCTGCTTTATTTACATTGCTATGAGAACATACTTCTATGAAAAGCACTCTGATTATCAAAATGAACATCATTAGAAATGCTTTCTTAATGTCTGCAAATCCATTTTCAGCATACTGTTTGTATAGTTAGGACATCCAAACTGCAAAACCATTGCTTGAAAATGTCTGCTCTCCCATACATACACTACTCTAGACAAATCCTGCTTGAGGTGAATTCATTATCACAAGACAGTCCTAAATCAAATATAAATTTTAGGAACTGATTATGTATTCACTAATGATAAACAGTAATTTTTCAGAGTTAGAGGGTAAGCTACTTACTTTAGAAAGTCACATCAAACTGGAGAGTGGATGATTAACAAAATGTTAATTGCCAAATGTGATAGGTAATTGAAAATGTGATAATTGACATATAATTTTGGCTATTAGCACATCATTCACTGCTTCTAATATTTGTATGTCCTTCTTATGGGAATATTCAGTGCCTAGAATAGATCAGTAACACAATTGAACTGGCTAAAATCTGAAGTATTTGATTAACCTATGCTAACTAGTTTCTAGTTGGCAATCAACTTGACCAACATCTCAGTATGTTTGTTGTTACTTTACAAATTTATTTTGGCATCTCAACAACTTAAATCACAGAAGGCTTATAAAAAATGTTGGGTTTTTATTTGACAACTGAAGTGTCACCTATTGAAAATTCTTGTGAGTCATGATGTCTCCCTCTTTAAGTGTTAATATTGATAGTGATTGTAGGAGATGGCTGCAGAGATGGCTGTCAATTACTCAGCCCTTGCTCCTACATACATGTTGTACCTCCCATCATTGAGGTGGAATCTATTTCCCCTCTTCTCGCATCTGTGTTGAGTTTTTGACTTATTTTGACCAAGAGAATGTGGCGGAAATAACATTGTGCTAGTTCCAGGTCTAGATCTTAAGAAACCAGGTTGCCTCAGTTTTTGCTTTCTTGGCATCACGCTTCCCTGTAGAGGTTTAGTAAGACTTCTGAATAATGGAAGACCACTTGTCGGAGAGAGTCTCAGCCACTCCTGAAGCTCTTCCAACTACTCTATCTGAAGTGCCAGACTTGTAAGTGAAGACATCTCAAATCCTCTAGTCCCAGTTAAGCCATCCAGGACAATAGCATGCAGAGCAGAGAAAAGCTGTTCCCCTAAAGCCCTACCCAAATTGCAAAAATATGAAAAATAATAAATGCTGGTTGTTGTTTTAAGCCACTAAGTTTTGGGGTGGTTTTCATGCAACAAAAATAACTGACAGTGATATAAGATATAATACAAGAAAGAGCCTTCACAATGTATTTTAATATTTCCCATATATGACGTCAGTTCTAATAAAAGCATTTCACTAATATCTCTTTTTCCAGTTTAATTAAAGTCATTAAAAAGTCATGGCGTATTGCATTATTTTCCAATTGTTATTGTTTGTGTATTTGATAGCTCAACTATCTTTCAATCATAATTATTTGTAAATGTATACACACACATTTAGCAGAAAAATTGAAGACCTTATAGTATAAAATACAGATTATAAATAATTCAAATTATTTTCATAAATTTTACTTTTTTTGCAATAATATATATCAAAAATAAGTCATTTTATGAAGTTTTCAGTGACAGAGCATAATTACCCACACTTTGGAAAATATTTATGTTAACATAATATTTTTATATTCTTTGAATACATTACTTTATACCCAAATCTTCCACAATGTGGAATAATTAACTATTCTTTTATAATGACTGTGTTTAAAAGTGAATTATAATTAAGCACAATTAATTAGCAAGCAGCAACAGAAAGAATCACGTTTTAAACTTGGCTTTAAATTTACAATAGCCTTTTTCTTCACAGTGTGGACATATATATAATTGAGAAAGCATTTATAAAAAACTCTGTACAGATAATTATGGCAATAGTAATCTTAGAATATTAATTTTAAATTCATGTTCTTCAGTCTACTGTGTTCAATGAAAGAAATGAAACTTGCCCGGAAGACTATGGATATGTTGCTATATGTACCAATTCAACTGAAAATCATTTTACCAATATTTTCAGGATTAAATAAGTCCCTATTAAGTATAAATGTTAATGACAAAAAAGGCAGTAGATCAATATTAAAGCTAATTTAGTCAATGTTTGGATATTACTTTGGATCAAAACTCAGCATCGCTCATATAAAGACAATACAGGTGGATTAGAAACTTATACTATGGTATAACCCTCCTGATTTGACATGTATGTTGAATACAAATTATGGTGTTGGAATTCTTGACTCAGATTGCCTAGATGAACATTGAATATTTGGAACCTTGAGAGGCATAAGAGCACTAAAGGAAATGATCAACCTTAGGTTCAGAATTTGAAATATTTGACTTTGACTCTAACGGAGACAAGCTCAAAGATTAAACAGCTTTAAATGTTTCAGTATCTCAAATGATATGCCCTTTTTTAATAGTCATGAGAGAAGGAAACGGCCGGGGAACTGCACCCTCACACTGAATGATGAGAAGTGGAACCGTAATATATTTACCATCATTATTTCAGGGACTAAAATATTCAGAATAGTTTAAGAATACTGGACTGCCTTCAAGCAATCTGAGTCAGTGTCACACTTTGCATAGAGTGGAGTTTGAGAATTTAATTACCTAAACAGCTGGCTCCAGAATTCTGACTTAAGGAAGAGAACTGCCTTTGTTTGGGGAAAATACCTCTTTAAGCCTCTTGGAGGTGGATGGTGAGACCCTGAAGGTATAGTTCTGCAGGAGCCATGCTGGAAAAGGTGATTTAATATTGCCTTTTACTGGATATGAACAGAAACGTTGGGGGTATGTAAGAGAGTGAAGAGAAGGAAGGATTACTGGGCAGCCTATTAGGGCGATAAAACCTAAACCAAAGAAATGGCTGTAAGGCGTTTAGAACAGGTTATTTTAAATGTGGTGTTTTAAGTTGTGGGTGTTGTTATGCACTCCTATCTCCTTAACCTTTGATAATCCATTGTACATAAAATATACTGAATTCCTTATCAGTGTTTGCATTTAAAAACAGGCTAAGACAATCAAGACACTTAGCCTATCCCTAAACTTAAGTAAGAGAACAGCTAAAATTCCAAAAGATCTTTATAAATCCATAAAAAATTGTTAAGACATTTCATTCTCTATAATCCATAGAAAATAGAAACAATTTCATTAATATCCAAAGGAATGAGCTTTACCTGACATCTGAATTAAACATGTCACATAATATTTTAATGTACCTGTTGGTAAACTAAAGTGATAGCCTTCAATCTGTTTGTGCTAGGAGGAGCCATTGTAAAATTAAGTAAATTGCAGTTTCTTTGTAAACTCAATGAAAAGACACTGAGATTGCCATTTCTAGAGAATCTAGCAGTTTATTATTGACATAAACTGGTCAATAAAATCTTAAGTGGGTAAGTCTTGAAGCGATACTTTTTCTATTCATAAAGAGCTGACAATTTTTGACATATAACTTTTTTTAGGTGGGGAGGACTCTTTCAAGTAAATAGAAAAGAATTTCAGAGTACTGGTCTCTCTGGGAACATTGATGAAAAATAAAACAAAACACCACCAACAAAATCCTCAAAGATTTTTGTTGTTGTTGTTCAAAGAATACATTTTTTTCAGAAACAAAGATAATCATTCAAACCACACATAATTAAAATAAATCATAGAAAAAGCCGCATTTTGAGGGAAGAAGAGAATCTTTGATCCAACGGCCTTGGGAACGTAGACTGAGTGGAAATGTTAGCAGAGAGTAGTAAGTCACTTTGTATTGAAGTTGGACAGGTGGTATAAGAGAGAAAAAACAGAGACAGAACAGACAGCAATAAGAGAGAAGCAACAAGGGCCCTGTCAGGTCTGAGTAGATCACTGCATGCAGTCTGTCCCATACAGAAAATAAAAGTGTTAAAATACAAGAGAAAGGAGAAAAACAGAGAAGCAGTGTATATATATATACGTGTATATATATATATACACATATATATATATATATACACATATATATGTATATATATGTATATATATGTGTATATATATATGTATATATATATGTGTGTGTGTGTGTATATATACACACACACACACACAGCAGAAAGGACTAATTAGAATAAGAGTAATAACTGAAGGATTGTGCAATAGACATAATTAAGTCAACAAATGGCAGTGTAGGTAGTGGTTAAGAGGACAGAGTATAGAATCAGTATATTTGGGTTCAAATTCTGATATCCCTCTTGGCAGTGTTAACTTAGGCAAGTTACTTTAGTACCCTGTGCCTCAGTTTCTTCATCTGTAAGATGGAACTTTAAATAACATTCCTTCTTCATTAATTCATAAGGACAAAATGAGTTAATCCACATAAAGCATTTAGAATGGTGTTAAGCATACAGTGAGCCCTTAATATTAGTTACTAATGTCTAATAATGATAACAATGGAACATAATAACTACTTGCATTAGTAAACTCGCTACAGTATAAAGTAACTTGAAAAGATACAGCACAGTATAAGGGCTAGTTGAACAAAGAGGTTCGCTAGGACAACTTAAGGTGTATAAGAAATTACCTCAAGAGCAAAGGGTGAAAAAGAAGGCTGATTCCTGAAGCCGAATTTCCTCCTCCAGTCTTTAGCAAGGAGCCGTATCCAGGTAGCCTCAACTCAACTTAAGTTTGTGTATTTTATATAGAGATGTCTGAATTAGTTGTATAACTAAGAAAATGGCTTAGTAAACTGGCCTGTATCCTTTAGCCATACTGTGCTCACTGAACAAGTCTCAATTCTGGTTTTGTTTGCATAGTATTTCAACTTTAAAATCCTATGCAGGAAATTCTATAGAAATGATGCCTGAATCAGCCTGAATTTCCCTCACCTGGAACATGGGTAGAACTTTCAGGGCTAAAGAGTCATGCTGACCATGTAGATATTAATGAGCACCCTGATGCCTCAGTAGCACCAAAGGGAATTGACACTTCCTTCCAGACCTACTCACAATTTGCATAGGAAGGGTGTAGTCTACATTCACTATTTACGGATGGGCTTTCTCTGTGAATAAAATTTTCAAAATTATGATCAGTCTGTGATACTAAATGCGAGATATGACTAATTATGTTTGCACAGTATAATTAGAATGTTTGAATGAGAGAAATCATAAACAATATATAGTTGTCTCACTTTGTGTAATGGGAAACTATATGGGTAAAGGGAGACTAGATAGATTTTCTAAGATTCTACACAGCCAAGAGGTAAAACCAAGACAAGAAATAAGATAGCTTTATTCCTATTCCTGCCCACATTTGACAAACTTCCCTTGCTCACAGGGTATTATCTCTACCTACAGAATGACAATAGTTTTCAGAAGCCAGGATAAAAATGACAATACAAAGTCATCAAAAGGAGGAGGCACAAGACAATGGCTACTTAAGTTATATGAATTCTGTCATGCTTATAATAGAAATGCACAAACATGGAAATGCATTCATAAGCAGTATTCACCTGAATTGTATAGATTGTTTCCCTGACTCTGTGTGAGTGTGTGTGTGTGTATTGAGTGCTCATTCTATTATTTTACTTTAGTTCAAGTAAAGCAAGCTTCAGATTAAATGTCCTTTGGTATCTCTTTATTTAGTAAGCATTACATTGTACACTTCATGAGTGGTAGCATTTCATTTATATTACGTTAGTGGTAACAACCAAAAAAAAAGCACCCTTTTCTATTCCAGTCTTATTTTTTTCATCTGTATGCTGAATATGTATGTTTGAATATATATTTATATCCATTTATATATACATTTATATATTTATATATATATATCATTTCTATAGAATTTCCTACATGGGAATTTATGTATATGACTTATATAAAGAGATATATATATAAATATATATAAAGACATATAAAGTCATTATATAGATGGGTTTTATATATATATAAAAGTCATTATTAAATACCTATAAATATATATATAAAATATATATAAAAATATATTTAAAATACCTATATATATATAACCCATCTATATAATGACTTTATCTGTATATCCTTCTGTATATTGTTATTTGTGTGTATTTGTATGTGTGTGTCTTGTGTCTGTATCTTGTTTTTTTTTGTGTGTGTGTGTGTTGCTCAATCTTGCTGTCTGTCTGTGTATATTAGAGTTTCATGCATCTGTGCAACAAATATATTCTAGGGAAAATACTCTAATAGGTCTGTGGCTCCATGGACTAGTACTAGGCAAAATGATAACATCATATACCAAGCACACTAACAGAAACCTGGGAATTGGGGGAGAGAATGCTTGAGAAAATTGAGGAAGAGGTCAAGGGAAAAGGAGAAATCTGCAATTTGGGAGTGAAATGGAATCCTGAGATTAAAAAAAAAGTGTGAAGTTTCTATGGTAGAATCGCTGAAGAATATTTAAGAAAGAAGAATGTATTTTTTTAACTTTTATTTTAAGTTCAGGAGTAGATGTGCAGGTCTGTTACATAGGCAAACTTGTGTCATGAGGGTTTGTTGTACAGATTATTTCATCACCCAGGTATTAAGCCCGGTGCTCATTAGTTATTTTTTCTGATTCTCTCCCTCTTCCCACCCTCCATCCTCCCATAGGCTCCAGTGTGTGTTGTTCCCCTCTATGTGTCCATGTGTTCTCATCATTTAGCTCTCATGCATAAGTGAGAGCATGTGGTATTTAGTTTTCTGTTCCTGTGTTAGTTTGCTAAGGAAATGGCCTCCAGCTCCATCTATGTTCCTGTAAATAGACATGATCTCTTTCTTAGAAAAAAGAATTTCTTGTAGTTTACTTAAGAATCTTCCCAGGCTGTGAGGCTCCAAAAATGACCTCCACCATCGCCTCAAATTTACACACAAAGTTTTCCATACATACATCTTTAAATTGGTGATGCTTTAGAGAATAAAATGAACCAGGTTGTACCTGGAGGTGCAGATAATGTAGAAAATCAATGCCATGGACAGGAGGGGGATGGGAGTAGAGAAGCAACTGGCAGATGTGTGGTTGTGAAGTGGAGATGAGACACAACCATTTTGCTCAAATATATTAGACAAAGATGACCCTGGAAGGGGGATGGTGGACTTGGACTGACACTTGGGTTACGTAACAAGTGGCCATTAAGTGTCCCTGTGGAGCCAAATGCTAAAACTAAAATTATGTATATTATCTGTTATTCCACTTTATTATGCAAGTGTAGACACAGGTTGCAAAGAAATGTAATTATTCTCTCACTACTTTTCTACTAGATGTAACTTCATGAGAACTCCATAGTGAGAGAAGTTAGTTTATATTTCATATTTCATATAATAATAATGTAGTTCCTGTGTAACTATACCACTAAAAATAGTACCATATCTCTGTAATTGCTAGAACAGTTGACAGTCTTTGTGCATTAAACAAGAATGTGTCTCATTCCATAAATCATTTATAACTGCTGCAGTGATCCAATAGTTTATACTCTTAAGCAAATAAAAATGAACATCTGTCTATTCTCCGGACAACTGCATTCCATAACTGACCCTCAGCTTTTCTAAAATTTAATTTTTTGGTTAAAACCAGGAAAATAAAAGTTTATTTTGGTAGCTTTTACTATTTGTCTAGTGTTCCTTTAGATCTTTATTTCCAAACAAAGTGTTAGAAAACTCTAGTGAGTAATGTGACTCTCCTAAAACATACTGCGTAAAGACTTGATCTTTTATTCTATTACACGAGTTAATGTATTATCCTTGACAAAACTGGATTCAGTAAGTTATAAGATTTACCTTAGGATCACATTCTGGAGTAAAAAAAAAAATTACTGTAATATTTGACATCACTCTAATCTTTGACCATTGCGATTATTTAAAGCTTAGCTTGGCCTCAATGGGGTTCCTGTGAAAGAAGGTACTAAAGAGAGAGAAAGACAAATCAGTGTTGAGGTGACTTTCTTCTTTCTATGACTATGTAGCCAGAGAGACAGGAGGTGGTAAATTTATACCTTTATGACGTCAATAGTGCAGCATACTAATTTTTACCTTTATTGCTTCAAAAATAATTTCTCTCTACTATAAGTCATTTAATTATTTTAATATAACTTGTTTAAAACCATACAAAGTTACAGAAGTACCTATAATGCAAAATTTTACTTAAACTGATTTTTTCTCCTCTGAGCTGAGTGAAGAGACTCAGCACACCCCATTACCATTTAACCAGCCCTATTCTAATACTACTTTCCCACAAGTTGAAGAAACCTACTGATATGATTCAGCTGTGTCCCCACCCAACTCTCATCTTGAATTGCAGTTTCCATAATTCCCATGTGTCACGGGAGGAGCGCAGTGGGAGGTAATTGAATCATAGGGGTGGTTACCGCCATGCTGCTTGTGTGATAGTGAGTGAGTTCTCAGGAGATCTGATGGTTTATAAGGGGCTTTTCCCTCTCTTCACTCTGCAAATCTCCTTGCTGCTGCCATGTAAAGAAGGACATGTTTGCTCACCCTTCCGCCATGATTGCATGTTTCTTGAGTGTTCCCCAGTCATGCTGAACTGTGTGTGAATTAAACCTCTTTTCTTTATAAATTACAGTCTTTGGTATGTCTTTATTAGCAGCATGCGAATGAACTGATACACCTATACAATTTGGTGCAGATTTAGCATTCCTAATCCAAAATAGGAAATGTTCCAAATGTGAAATTTTTTGCATGTCAACATGAAATAGTTACACCTTTGCTTTCTGTTGGTTCAATGTGCAGAAACCTTGTTTCATGAATGAAATTATTAAAAATATTACATAAAATTACCTTCTAGGTTCCATGCTCAAAATAATATATACATATAATATTATTATTTGTGTGTGTATGTATATATATTCACATATATGTAAATATTTCAATATCATAAAAAATCTACAATCTGAAACACTTCTGTTCCTAAGCATGTCAAAAAAGTAATACTCAACCTGTAGTAAAATTGTACTAATATCAACATTTTGTCTGGTACATTATAAACATTGAATAAATATTTATAGTAGATATACATAGTTTTTGCTGAACCAGCTTTGCAACTTTTATTACCCAGTTTTTCTTTAGGATTAATTTCTTGTTCATACTCAGTACATGTCATTTGAGTGAAACTGTAGGATAGACGTATTACCCAGGCCTGGCCCTTCACATATTCTTTATATGCCCTTTCCTTAGTTAAAATATGTATGTAATTTAAGCAGTGATGATAATAAAGACAATTCTAGGATGTCAGTTGGAATTTTTGAAATTAAAAAAAACTTGCTGCCTAATAAAAATGTTGGTTGTATATATGAATCTAGAAATATTGGGACTCTCTATTTCAACAGTATTTGTTTGAGAAAGTATTCAAAACAGAAAAAAAAAATCCCACAGAAAAGAGAGAAGGAACAAGAGAGAGAGGATAAAAGTTGCTGAATTCCTATATTCTGCCATACCTAAAGGAAAACGCACCTCTGTATTTTTCAGGCATTCAATTTGTTTTACTTTTATTTATAGGTAAGGATTATGGTTACTTGCAAATAAAATAATTCTGATTAATACATTTTAAACTTTTTTTGTATTTCTCACAAAGTGAAGAGTATAGTCAATTCATGAAACAAAAATGTGCCAAATAGAGTATGTCATATTTCTCAAATTAGATGGGAGAGCTGCAGATAAATTTTACTGGACTGATTAAGTAAAATGCATTAGAAAATGTTGGCAGCAGCTTAAAACAGAAGAAATTACTTATGTTTTTCTTACACATATTTTCTCTTAAGTGGAAGGTTATAATAAGCAGCTTTTAAGATGGCCTCCAGTGATTTCATGCCCTGGTATTTATGCCTTTGAGGAATCCCTCCCTTTGAGTGTGAGCTGGATTAATGACTCATTTCTAATAAATACAAAACTACAGAACTGGTGTGATGTCACTTCTGAGATTAGGTTTTAGGAAGATATTGGCTTCCCCTTGAAGGAGTGCTGTTGCTCTGTCTCGGATTGCTTGCATGTCATGAAGCAGTCCCCTGGTTAGGTTCATGTGAGTGAAATTGGAATCAGATCATTCACCAGCTAGGCCTTCATGTGAACATGCAGCTTTGGATTACAGGTTGAATGCAAACTCATGAAAGAGCTTGAGGCACGGCACTCAGATAAGCCACACCAGTATCCTTGAACATGTGAGGTAACAAATGGATGTTGTTTTAAGTGCTAAGTTTTGGAGTAGTTTGTTATGCAGAAATAGATAACTAATACATAGAAGTAGAATCAGGATCAGCGCTTATAAAATGGAATCAGAGGTTCTATTCTAAAACTGTAGCCACCTTCTGCCACCAATTATCAAAAATAAATCGGAAAAGAGTAATTTAGCTTACTTCAGTTTCATCTGTATTTACCAGCAGCTACTATCACCAGGCAGGCTTTGAATAAAGTTATGACTTTTAATCAAACTCAACGTACTGTTTCAGGCTTTTCCCATTGTATCATTGGTCTGTCACATTGTCATTCTATGTGGTGTTTTGGAGCTTGAACAGCTGAACTCACTATGGTATCACCTGCAATTATTACCTTTAAAACACCAACAGGTTCTCCAAAGTAATTTCAAAGAAACCTCACTTCTGTAAATATAAGTAAATAAAATGAAGACTGAAGAATTTGAAGGCTATCTAGATAAAAAGTTGCTAAAAGCTCTCCTACAGAACTTTAATGTTCAACTACGGTCATTTACATATGTTCACTTCTAGAGTTAAGGATTTTATAAAGGTTTTGTGAATTTTCTTAAAGTCCAGGTGTATTAGGCTTCTAAACTTTGATTATATACCTGAGAAGCTAAATTTTGATTATATACCTTGAGAATTTAGAGCCCTAAGATCTAACCTTGCTAAAATAAACTATCTTGGGAACAAGTAAGCAAGCAGTAGCAGTAAAAATAAAATCATGTTTCCTTTTTGGCATTATTGAAATAACTCTTTCTTTAGTGGACTTTTTCCTAAATTGGTGAATTTAAATTATTTAGTATCATTCTTAATATGGTGAAATTGATAATTTTATATCACATTTTCTACTTATTTTTCTTTCCTTTAAATCTCAAATCACAGGGTTGCCATTTTGAGAGAGTAATCTACTTGTACATTCCTGTATATTTGAAATTGAGAGCTGAAATTTTTTGAGAATTTCCCAAAATATTCCACCTTGCCAGATAACCACTTTGTTAGCTGCTCGGGATTAGTGTTAATATGGAAAGTTCAAATAGGAACCAATGAGAGAATTAAAGGCAGACCATTATAATTGTTATGACACCTTTTGAATTTTCTGATGAAAGCTGAGTGATGTCAATCCATATGCCAGTTTTTCTTCTTTCACTTATGCCACACCGACAGAATTATTTCACTGTTTATTAGCAATATGCAACAATATGCAAATTAGAGTACAGAGAAAAGAGAAATAGAGGCGGGAGAGAGAGAGAGAGAGAAATTTACAGATCTGTATTCCTATACCTATCTTTTACATGGCATATTTTCTGGTAAAATGTGTCCAGCAGCTACCTGGCTCTTCTATACATCATTAGTGAGAAAAGTAATCCTTTTCTCAAAGAAAAGAAAAATTGGGAGGGATTGAATTGAAATCTGAAAAGAGGAATAAAATGTCTTAATCTGATACTTCCCTCTTGTTGAGAAAAGCAGAAATTACCTTTCCATTAGAGTTTGATGGAATAATACATAATACCCCAATGCATGAATTTCTCACCTAATGGTGACTTTTGTTTTAGAGGGCTATTCATTTGCTCGTTTAATGATGCTTCTCAAACTTGAATGTGCATACAGATTACATGCAGATCTTGTGAAATGTGGATTTGATTCAGTTGGTTTCGGGTGGAGTTTGAGATTCTGCATTTCTAATAAATTCCCAGGTGAAATCAGTCCATGGACTATATTTTAGTAGCAAGAGTTTAGAATATCTGACATTTTGTAAGACTCTCTTTGCTACTGTGGAATACATGCAGACACTGTTCTCAAGGAGCCTACACTATATTCGAAGAGAAAAGTCAACCCATGTGTAAAAATAGCTCATGCATTAATAAAATTAATAGCAATTAGTACATTGAGGAGGTGTAGACAGGGCTGGCTTCATGAGCATATGACGTGTGCAGTCTCACAGGGCCGTGTGCTTAGAAGGGCCTACATTTGGTTTAATGCTCTGCTGTTGTTGTCTGGAAATTGATTTTTCTTAATTATACTTTAAGTTCTGGGATACATGTGCAGAATGTGCAGGTTTGTTACAGAGGTATACACGTGCCATGGTGGTTTGCTGCACACATCAACCTGTCATCTACATTAGGTATTTCTCCTAATGCTATCCCTCCCCTTGCCCCCCCACCCCACAACAGGCTGGGTGTGTGATGTTCCCCTGCCTGTGTCCATGTGTTCTCCTTGTTCAACTCCCACTTATGAGTGAGAACATGTGGTGTTTGATTTTTTGTTCCTGTGTTAGTTTGCTGGGAATGATGGTTTCCAGCTTCATCCATGTCCCTGCAAAAGACATGAACTCATCCCTTTTATGGCTGCTTAGTATTCCATGGTGTATATGTGCCACATTTTCTTTATCCAGCCTATCACTGATGGGCATTTTGGTTGGTTCCAAGTCTTTGCTATTATGAATAGTGCTGCAATAAACATGTGTGCCTGTGTCTTTGTAGCAGAATAATTTATACTCCTTGGGGTATATACCCAGTATGGGATTGCTGGGTCAAATGGTATTTCTGGTTCTAGATCCTTGAGGAATCGCCACACTGTCTTCCACAATGGTTGAACTAATTTACACTCCCACCGCCAGTGTAAAAGCTTTCCTATTTCTCCACATCGTCTCCAGCATCTGTTGTTTCTTGAATTTTTAATGATCGCCATTCTACCTGGTGTGAGATGGAAATTCTTACTACATTTTGAACAAGGGGCATTTCATTTTCATTTTGTCCTGGAACCCACAAATTACGTAACTGTTCCTGGGTACCAATAAGGTTGTATGAAACATTAAAGAGTGAAGTCGGCCGGGCGCGGTGGCTCACGCCTGTAATCCCAGCACTTTGGGAGGCCAAGGCGGGCGGACCACGAGGTCAGGAGATCGCGACCATCCTGGCTAACACAGTGAAACCCCGTCTCTACTGAAAATACAAAAAAAATTAGCCTTGCATGGTGGCGGGCACCTGTAGTGCCAGCTACTGGGGAGACTGAGACAGGAGAATGGCGTGAACCCGGGAGGCGGAGCTTGCAGGGAGCCAAGATCGCGCCACTGCACTCCAGCCTGGGCGACAGAGCGAGACTTCGTCTCAAAAAAAAAAAAAAAAAAAAAAAAAAGAGTGAAGTCACCTTTCACTGAAAGAAATAATACATAGTTTCCAAATGAAGAAGCATTTGAACCGTGCCTTGAAGAATGGGCAAAATTTGAACGGAGATACGTGTAGTTAAGTAACGTGGGGAAAGCAATGTGAGCAGAGAGATTGTTATGATCAAAGAAATCAAGACTAAAATAATCACATGTGGGAGGAATGGTACAGAGTTTATTCTAACTGGAACATCAAGTGCTGAGCACGTAAGTGTTGAATACATTTTTGATGACTGATGTTCTGCTGAATGCGTTTCCCAGAGATTAACATACTGTCTGTATTGCTAACCTAGAAGAAAGAATGATACCCCCGCAACTGTAGCAAGTACTGTGACCTGTGATTTTAGAGGTTCAGAAGTGGAGATGCATGAGAGTAAAGATGCAAATAAGGTTCGTTAACAGATATGTCTACCAGTCCTAAAAAATCGTAGGCTCTTTAACTTGTTACCTAATCTACTTAAGTGATTGGGAATAGGGTGATGATTTTCATTTCACTAAAACATTGTGGTTTAGTTTCCATCCATCTAGAATAATTTTGTTTTATGGTTTGAACATTTTAAGGAACCTCATCAAAACAAACAAAACAACATGTTGCCTTTGGACAGAATTAGAAACTAAGGTTAAACCTTTACTACAATATGTAATTTTAAAAACAGACCTATGGCTATGATCCATATAGGAATGACCATTCATATTACATGTGGAGAAACTCATGCATTAGAGTACGAGAGGATCAAAATAATC
Source organism: Homo sapiens (assembly GCF_000001405.40). Classification (NCBI taxonomy): domain Eukaryota; kingdom Metazoa; phylum Chordata; class Mammalia; order Primates; family Hominidae; genus Homo; species Homo sapiens. Next base: position 93,567,010 of record NC_000006.12, read on the forward strand.
ACACTTTTTGCAAATTTTTCTCCTTATTAGAAGTGAATAACAAACGTAAGTTTTTATTTGTCTCTTTTTGTACAAATGAGGCTAGAGCTTTGAAATAAATTTACTTGGGGAAGGCACACAACTTGCTAAGGCTTATCTTTCTGCTTTAAAATTAGTGTGTGGTGTCCAAACCGACAGCTGGGGAAGTTTGCATCCCTGGGCTGCAGTGCTGCTTGGCCCCACTGCTCTTTAGGCCTCTCTGAACTTTTCCTGTGATCTCATTCTCAGTGTCTTTCTCCTCCATCCCTACAGGGACAGATTAACTGGACAGGAAAAGAGAATGCCCTGGGCATAGTCACCCAGCTGTTTCCCACTTGAGTTATTGAACCTACGGGCGACAGTGTTTATTATGTCGCCACCACAATACTATCTCCAGGGCCAGCTCTGTGCCAAGGCTCCCCTTGAAACCAAGAACAGACGAGACAGGCATAACTCATGGTGGCTCTCCCAGTGATGAAATATGCCCCTGGTCCCTATATCCCCTCTGCTGGCTACCCTATAGGTACTTCTGCCTGGAATGATTAGGCATTGCAGGAATATTTCATAAAAATCTTATGTAAACAAGACCTTGTGCTTTGCTTATGAGGTATTAATACAGTCTTTTTTTCCTTCCATTTCTTTCCATTTACAATTGCCATAATCACAATTATTTTTCCTATCCCTAAAATGACATATGAAAATGAGACCTTGAAAGGAAATCAAGTGCATCAAAAGCTTTTAAGAAAGCTGAAATGTTTAACCTTACAGTTTCTTCTTTCTTATTGAGGAAAATAAAACAAAACAAAACCCTAGACAAAATGAAGCAAACTTCTTTTTTAAATTTCAGAAACAAGAGTTGGTCCAAAAATTATGTCCCAAATCGATATTTACAATTGAACATGAAGTACTCTTGAATTATAATAAAGGTGAAAAAAGACATATTTAAAATGTTTATTTTTTTAATCTTGAATCTTCAATACAAAAGCAAATACTGTTTTTGTTTTCTATTGGTTAGTGCATTATCTATCCTGTCAACCAGACTTTGCTTATAAAGTATAAATGCAGATATAGGGTAAGTTTCAGAATAAACTACAAACTTGGTCATGTGGGTAAGCTTTTTCCTATATGATCTATATTGGGGATCTTCATTGCTTCCATTGAGATACTTTCTAAATATTATTTTCTTCTGTGTCACAGAGATTAAGTGAAATTTCCCAGTTAAGGAAACAGGTTAGCTTCGTGGTGCTGAGTCTCTTTGGCTTTTAAAATGAAATAAAACAGACCCACTTTGCAATGCTGTTGTTTGGATTGTCTTTGGTATGTTCTAAGGTACCTGGGATAGTCATTCTTCAGAAAGCACATTCCTTGCTGTGGAGATATTTGCCTGCACAGAGGACAGACTAACATCATTGTACTGGCAAGCCTCCACAGCCAGGCTGAAGTGTGAAGTGTTATAACTAATTGGGATGTTTCAGACAGAAAACCTATTAGCTAAGTAGTTAAAGGAATTGTGGGAGAGGGATTTCTTAGGTTATGCAATAATTACTTTCAATTTCATTTTGGCTATGAAAATGCACCAGTGGATACCAGACTTGTGTCACTTTGGCCTGAGTGAGCCAGCCAGCACTGTTGCCATAGTGAAAGATGTAGGAAATGTGTGCCCAACTAGAGTATGAGGATAGAGATTTTTATTTATGCTTAAATCTCTGTGCACATGTAGGTACTTTTTTCCTCTTACAATTAAACCTTTTTTATTTCAGGGACCGTAACCAAAAGAAATGTGTCTAAACGAAATAATTGCTAGGCTTAAAATAAAAATTTTAGCAAGATAATAAAGATGTTAGTGAGACAAAGCATGACATCATAAAAGGTAGCATTCCTAGTGGCTAATTTTTTTATTTCAATAGTAACCTCATACTTTCTAAGAATACATATAAAGGTATACAGAGATTAGAACATTTTGATGGTATAAGATACTACACATGAAGGAATGACCAGATTCATTTCTGAAAATCTGAGATTCCCACTCATAAAAAATAGAGTGGAGGGACTAAAAAGAAAATTAACCTAGAAATAAAAAAATACTCAACATTCTGTTAATAAGCCACTCAAAAAATACCGCATGTTATGTAATTCTACTTGTATAAAATGTCCAGAATAGATAAATCTATGAAGACCGAAAGTATGTTAGGTTTGATTAGGCCTGGGGAGAAGGTGGGGGAAGAAGCTGAAGGGCAATGGCTAGAGGGTACAGGCTTTCTCTTGGTGGTGATAAAAATTGTTAAAAATTTCTTGTGATGATATTTGCAAATTGTTTAAAATTTCTTGGCTGATATTTGCACATATCTGTGCATGTAATAAAAATCATTAAACTGTACATTTTACATGGGTAGATTATATGTATGTGGACTATTTCACCATAAAGATGATTCATAAAAAAAAAACTCTTGTACACTTTCTATTTAATCATCTACCATACATCTTATCTAAAGCAAAAATATTCCTGTAATTCTAAATGTTTAAATAGCCAATATGTCTGGGTATTTACCCAATTCTCCACTCCCAGGTGGGGCTGGCAAAAGTAGGTGGGGGGAAATGGGAGTGGCTCTTTCTCTGCAGGGCTGATTTTAGCCCAAACAGTTTTATGGACATCAAAGAGCACACCAAGACAACCAGAATGGAACAGCTGCAGACCTCCTTTGATCTCTGCCCAATGACCTCTTCATCACATTTAGTGTCCTTTTCAGTCTGGAATTATTTTTTGAATTCCTATTCCTTCTAGGAATTCCTTCTAGAAAGCTATTGCCTATAGACTAATGCTGGTTACCAAGACGTTTTCCACAAGCTGTAAACCTGTATTAATAAACATCTTCCTTGTGGAGAGTGTGTGTTCTTTATATCTATTTGGTATTGAGATATCTGGGTTATAAGTCTCTTTTTGACATAGCAACATTCCAATCTGTTATAATTGGGCTGCAATTAGAAAGATAATCTTGATAATTCAGAGCTTGTCATCTATGGGCTCTCTAGGTCTTTTGTTTCTTCAGTATTTAATCATTCCACTGATGTTGTTCCCTTTATAACATAAATTAGTTAGAGGAAAGTAATTCTCAAATCAGACTGTTAGCTACTAGTTCTAATTAAGAGATTGGTTGGAAAAAGCAGCCAAAATTAATAATTTAGATATTTTGATTTTTCATGTCCCCATATACTATAGAAAAATAATCATAATCATGGTTAGGATATTTATACAATTGTGGACCTTCTGTTCAGTATTCAGGCATTTTTTCTGGGATTTATTACTTCAAAAGTGTTTGTATGATTGACTTGATAGACGTTTTACTCAAACCCATTACATTCCATTTAACCCACCAAAAAATATATTAAGTACTGACTACAGAACAGACACTGAGCTAGGGTTCTTGTGTGAAACGTAAAGGGAGAATAAACAAACACACAGTAACAGGTAATCTTCCAGTGAAGCAGATTTATCTGCAACAACAACAACAACAACAACAACAACAACAACAAAATCAGATACAGAGAGGACATGTGCTATGCAATAAATAATTTAACAAATAGAAGATAAATGTATCCAAATTTATACATAGAGTTCTGGTTTAATGGAAATGGTAAAATGTGAGCAATGCAGTACTTTGCTGCCAAAATACGTTATCCTGATAGTATGTTGGAGACCTGAATAAATGTGTACATCTACTTATTCCCAAGCACATCTACATAAAATGAAGCAGTATGTGTGGATTTCTTGTGTTGTAATGTCAAATTATTTACCATGTCATTGCTTTGGAGAACATGTTATAGAAAAAACTGAATGTCCTCATATCCATTAACGTTTTGGTTCCTTTGTTTTTTGTTGCCATAAGCATTTATGGTAATATAGATAATCAGCAAGAGAAATGTGTTATTACACATTAACCAATGAAATCAAACAGTAAATACACTTAGTTCTCAATAATATAATGTCTTGTCCTAAAAGAGAATTAAAATGTGAATCATGTTGATCATTTTCCCTCCAGCAAATAACAGGTAGGCTTATAAAAATGCCCATTATGGTGGTCAAGAAACTGGCATGTTACTCTGTGAAGTCACTGTTCATTCTCCACTTATTCCTGGAAGCCTAGCAAAGTGAAGACTATCTATTATGTTCCAATGACTCACCTCTTCTCCTCTATAACATGCGGCACCCTTGCGATTCCTGGTCAAAGTTTGTTTTCGCTGCTAAATTGAAAACTCCATGAGCACAGGGCTTTCTTCACTATTGCATAGCAACAGTAAGGAATTAAATATTTCCTCAGTAAATGAACTAAGAAGAACCATGGTAGGGGATACAGAAAATTTAAAAGTATGACAAAATTACTTTAGTTTATATGTTTATTTAAGCAGTTGATGTAAATCTTCTCTTTTTGCCATAAATGTTCTTTGCAGACTCCTACTGAATATTATCCCACATTGCACAGTCTCACTGTGTTTACATGTCTGTTTCTTCCAGATCTTGCTCAAGCATATGACGAAAGAGTGCTTTGTAGAAGTGCAGCATTTAGAAGGGCATTTTCAGGGCTGGGATCTGGTAAATAGATTTGTGTTTGAATTTCTAGCACTTTGCACAATCATTGAATATGTAGTAAATACCAGTAAATACTTATTGACTTAATGAATGAATCAATGAATCTTTAAAATTCCAGACATTTTTGTCCTTTTGTGTCTACTAATTTTTTTATCTTACAATGAGCATGTTTCCAAAACAATTTGACATTGTGAGAATCATAAGGATTTTTGCCAAAGCAATTAACAATTGCAATTCAAATTTTGTGTATGAATAGAAAATAATCACATTAAGTTCTTATTCAATATATAGATTTGTTCAAGAATAAACTAGTAACATAAAATTGAATTTATTTCCTAGATTAACATTCTAGGCTTAAATTTTATGGCATCAGCAATATAATCATTTACTAATTGATGCAATGTAATATTAAATACATTCACTTTCTCATAATACATTGTTTTGCCCCAAAAGGCAATTAAAATGTGGATTATACCACATAATTTGCAGAATCTTACTACACAATATTTTTCATTTTGCTTTGCTCTTTCCAGATACTCTGTCTTTCCAGTTAATATCTCATCAATAAAGACCTTGATCAATCATTGATAATATAATATTTAGAAAATTTCCTTCAAAATGTAATTACTTTAGCACTTGCAAAGGGGATATGGAATGTTGCAGACTAGGTGAGATAGAGATTTCAGGACACCCACACAAAATGGGTGTCAGTAGGGCAGAGGAGTATTATAGAGAACCTCAGTGTACCCATGTCCATGTATGAAATAACCTGCCTCCTGGCTGGCTTAAGGGAGGTTATTAGGTTAGACAACAGCCACAAGAAAGACACTCTCTCTTTCTATATCAACAATTATCCTCCTCTTGCTAAACACTCTCAAAATCCTGAATAGTCATATGAATTACTAAATATTAAATTGGAAGCCAAAAGCAAATAAAACGAATATAATTATGTGACCTTATTTTTGGGAGAACGCAATGCAGAGCACTTTTGGATATGTAATTTTCCTGACCCATGGAGGTTTCCTAGAGAACAAAGGCCAAAAGGGTGAGATGAAATAATCCAGACAGATGAAAATCTGGTGAGTGGGAGCCCTGGCACTCAGCCCGAGCTGGGATCAGGCAATCGCAGAACTTCACATGTCAAACTATTCACTTTGCTTAGTCTCTATCCAGACATAGAAGCAATAAAACCAGAGAAGGACAGTATAAACAACAAATAATTGTAATGAAGAAATGTTAACAATGAAAACAGAAATAAGAGAAACAGATAAAGTAAAATAATTTTTAAAAGTTAAAAGAATGTATATTTTTAAGCTCATTTGCTCTTGCTTATTACAAAATTCTACTCTATGGGTAGAATTTAAATACATGGTATGTAGACAGGTTCCATTTATTCTCATTTTTAGGCTTCACATTGTAAATTTAGTACTAAAATCACTAACTTTGGGTATGTTGAGAGCAGTGGTTCATTGAGCATACTTAAATGTTTGAGACACCAAACTTTCCTAAAGACATACTTAGTGGACAAAGAATCATTTATTGGGGGCAGGAAGCATTAAAACAATTTGCTTTAAAAGGTAAACATGACTGTGAAAATGTAGTTCTCGGTCTTGAAAAAGATTTGTCTATTTAATTTACTGAATTCAATATCTATATACAACTTTACAAAATTGTTTTGCAAATTTTGACTCTGATTCTTAATTGTCATTAAAGACTAATTCTCCTAGTAGTAGTTTACACTCTGTTTTGAGTAGACGGGTCTTTCAACTATCTTGAATATTTTAAATTAAAGTTAAAATATTTTCAAAGTGCATGTGCTGCTCCAGGGCTTTAGGCCAATATCCATCAATTGCTTTGCTCTTTCAGTTGAGTGCGAGTCTCATCCATGACAGCTTTCTGTAAATTAGAGATAAAGCCTTATTCTGCCTAACATTTGTCCACGCAGCTTGATGACTTCTGCATCTTTTTTATTTCCAGGGTCAAAAAAGAAGAGAATTTGTGTTAGATTTACTCCTTTCTCTTATCAATAATTGGTCTTATGTTTACATAGCATTTTTTTCTTATTAGGAGTCAGATTAAAGTCACAAATTGTACTCAGATGCATACTGCTTTCCATTAAAAAGAACGTGTGTCTTTTTATAAGACAAATGATTTTTAAAGCCGCTTTTAAACATAACAAGATTTAGAAGCTGAGATTATACATTGATTTTACCATATGGCCTTTGTCCTAGCTTTGTGAAGCTATCAAAATATCTTATCAAACTCTATATCATGCATTAGCATATACCACTTACTCTTCGTGAGAAAAATACCCTGGAGTAATTTAAGGTTACAATTATATTTGTAATTCAAATTATTGCCACTGTAACAGGACTTTCTAATATAATTTCTGTTCCTTAGATTTCAGCTTTCATTTTCCTTTATCCTAGTTATTAAGTATAAAAATATAATTCTCACACTAATCATTTAAAATATAACAGAAAAGTTTTATTCTGTAATGTACTGATGAATTTCTATTTCATTTTATATATAACATATTTCCATGGTTTTTTTTCATATTAATTGTATTTACCTCTTATATTAAGGAAATAGAAGTTTCCACCTGCTGTTATTAGCTTCTGCTATTTTGTCAAGGTAGATTAACAAAAATAAGTCTTTTGTTCAGGATGAACTTTGACATTTTGGACTAAGTGAATGATTGCTAGATCCCAAAGCTGAACCAGGTACTGCTAAGAACACAGGAAGAATACAATTCCTACTTCTCATGACCTCTGGACTCTGAAGTATATATCCTTTAGTTCCTCAGGCTCTGTTGTAGGATTTATATGTGCACATATTGCTTCCCCACTCAGCATCATCCATGAATTATGTACAAACCTCCCATAATCCCCGTTTCTAGTTACTGGAGTAGGCGATGCAGGCCCTAAGGGACTCTACAGAGAATGCTCAGAGTCCTCCCAAGCACCTTGATGCCAACTACTTCTAGCTATGATGCCATTTCCTTTATGTGCAGTTTCTCATGTGTTTCTCATCTGTTTTGAGGGTTATATGTACTAGAAGTATTTTAAAGTGCAATTTCACCAGACATTGTATTAAATGCTTTTCTAAAGTGCATGTATTCCATCTACCATATCCTTTCATCTTCTATTCTTGTCTATAATAAAATGTAGACCCTCCCTGCTGCCAGATGCTTCTTCTAGATCCCTCTCATTAGGCAAAAAGAAGTATGCAGTTCTCCACAGCTGCGGCAGTATCCCCACCCCAGCCCCCATTCTACTTTCCAAACTCTTGTATTTACACCATCTCCCTGTGAGGAGAAGCCCACTAATATATTCTCTGTCTCAGCTGCACACAACTTCCTGGAACAGCTCCCAATAAAAAGCCTAAAGCTTCCTCCCTACAATCACACAAGTTTAAGTCTTTTCCCACCACAGGCAGACCAGGTCACATATCTTATACTCTAAAGAAGCATTCTTCCTTTCTGCAATTCATAGTTAACAATATGGTGATTCTGGCTAAAAGAAATATGATCACTACCCTCATCCTATAAGAAGCCCACAATTCCTTATAAAAATATCACCCACTATTTCTTCAAATGGAATGTTATAAAAAACTTAAAATTGCAAGTATGGGGGATGGGGGAGATACAAATCTTGGGGAGTTTGTATAAAATAATGCATGAAAAGGGGAATATTATCTGGAATGCCAGTCACATAAGCAAAGAGAAGAAAATTGATTTAAAGGAATAACATGAACACTGAGTCCAGAAAAAATGCTGTATTTACAAAATTCTAAATATCTTTGTGAAGAACAAATCTTCTGTTAGTAATGTACATGTTTTTAAATAGCTGAGTATTTGATATTTGCTGGATATTTGATATTGGGTGGGTATATGTGAACAGATACATTTATAGTTATCCCTAGACTTTTTAAGTGTTTACCAAAAATAAACATAATAAAATCAGGTTTTAAAATGGGAGATGAGAAATACTAGCCAAATTCAATACTACCACATCTCAGTACAGATTCCTTTTATCCCTTGAGGATCTGTGAAATCTGACACTGCTCTGTAGGCAAGCTAAAGCAGTGTCCAGAATACCATCCAACATTAGAGGACACACAGATTTAGTTTCAACAACCTTGACAGATGTGCACATCTCTATTATAGAACTAGGACACATATATAAGTAGATGCCCTTGCCCTCGGTTACTTCTGTTTTATAAATGCAAATACCAATTTAATTAAATCATAGACTCGAATGGGCTTTCCAGAGTACAGAAATGAACCTCCACTGAAAGTGTCTTGATTTGAAAACATTCAGAGGAAAACACATCTATTTAGTTTAAGAAGTATTTAGAAGGTCATGTTGTCAGAGAAATCAGTGACCTGCTGCAAGTCTTTTTCTAATTTTAAGCTGTGATGGATTATCCATGCACAAGCAGCGTGCACTTATAAACCAAAGCACAGATAGGTTTGATATGATACAGTGGTTTTAAACTGTGCTTTAATTTGCAGCTATTTGAACTACTTCCATTTTTTACAGATATTGAAAATTGGAAATGAGTCAAGCAGTAGCATGTTCCAACATATTGCTCCAAGAAGCAGCACATCAATTCACCATGTACAGTGAGAGTCTAAAAATTAATAACTAAGTAAAAGATACTTAGCTTTAAAAAATCACATAATAGGAGACTAGAACAGGCTTTTATTAAAATCTGGCTGTTGCAGGGAAAAGTGCTAAACAGATGGAGTACGGAAGTCCTGGCAGTGACAATTGCTAACTCTGCAACATTGGTCAAATCCATATCTTCTTTAAGCCTCAATTGCCACTTTTATTAGATGGGGAAAAAAACCAGCCACTTGTATGCATGACTAATGTCAGAATCAAATGAGATAACATATTTAAAAAATTGAAAGCTCTGCAATGTTTAGTTTTATTATTTTTCTGACCATACCATTGGCCACAGTAATCTAGTTTTATTAAAATAATTATTTGTATACTGCTTTTCATGTCTATTTTTCAAAGATTTATTTTGCTCCGTTCATTTATTCACTTACCATCAAGCACTGAATTTGCCATGTATTTGTCACCTGTGATTTCCTTCCTCGTTGATCTAATATCTGGTAAAAGAGATTGACATAAATAAGTGTAAAAAATATTATAAATAAAATAAAGGCATATATAGTAGATGTGTTTGTGGCATGAGAGAATAATCAACTAACTCTTTCTGAAGGAGTGAAGAATTACTTCATATAGAGTGTGATAGTTAATATTGTGTCAATTGGGATGCGCCATGGGGTTCCGAGGTAGTTGGTCAAACATTATTCTGGGTGTTTCTGTGAGGGTGTTTTCATATTAGACTAACCTTTAAATCAGTGGGCATGAGTAAAGCAGATTGCTCTGCGTGTTGTGGGTGAGCCCCATCCAGTCAGTTGAAGGCCTTAATAGAACAAAAAGACTGACTTCCCAGGATTAAGAGAGACTCCTTCAGCTGACTGTCTTTGGATTTCATCATCTGTAACACTGACTCTTCCTACTTAATGGCTTTCAAACTGGAATATTGGCTCTCCTTCAGTCTCCCATACCACCAGGCTACCCTGTAGATTTTGAATTCATAGCCTCTATAATCACATGAGCCAATTCTCATTAAATATCTCTTCCCTCTGTCTGTCTCCTATTGGTTCTGTTTCTCTGGAGAACACTGACGATTACAGATAATGTTCCACTTATGCTAAATATTAAATATAGGTGAGAATTCGAGATGTGGATGATGAAGTAAAGGACCTCATAAGTAGAGAAAGCAGAATGTGAGGAATTATATTTGGGCTGTACAGAAACTAAAAAATCAGCCTAGGTTATCAAGATTGGAGGTTCCTATGGAGTGCAGAGGCAAGAGATGAGTTTGGGTGTGAGATCATGAAAGTGACTTGTATGCCACCAAAATGCATGTGGATTTTAACCTATAGGAAATGAAAAGCCATTTGAAGGATTTAAACAAAGAAATAAGATGATTAAATTTGCATTTTAAAGGATTACTATAGCTGCAGTGTCATATGGATTAGAGAGGGTCAAGGCTGCTGGCAGAGAGATTATTGAACTAGCATAAGCCAGGATAATGAGGTCCTGCACTAATTCAGTAGTGGTGGAAATGGAAACCAGATGGATATAAAAGATACAAAAGAGATAGAATCAACAAAATTCAATAAGTCATTTAGCATGGGGATAAAGAGGGGCTAGATAAGTTAAGCAGGATGCCTAGTATTCACTGTTGGGGAATTGGATGAAGCTGATATTGTAATACAGATAAAGGCAGTTTGTGAAAAATGAGAATTGGTTATAATTTGAGCATGTTATATATGTGACACATGTGGTAGCACCAGAAAAAGGTGCCTAACAGGAAATCACATATATGAATCAAGAGAAAGAAAGACAGGGCTAGAATTGTAAAGGTAGAGATTTGGGACACTAGATATAAAACTTATGGATATTGATAAGATGATTCAGGAAAACTGTGAAAAGTGAAAAAGGAAGGTGACTGAGAAAGTAGGCTAAGTCTCACGAAAAATGAATCCCCAGTTTACTGGTTAGGGACATTTATGGAGTTAGGATCAGGGTAAAAGGCCCTTCATAAGATGGGCCTTGGAAAATAACAGACATTTAAATTCAAACACAAGTTATGATTTGTGTTTAAATTAAGTATCTGTTATGTAAACATGCAGTTGGATCTTACTTTGCACGTCATCGCCTATCTTTTAACCTTATTTAAATTATCTCTACAAAGTCAGTGTTTTAGTGAGATGCAAACACTTTAGAAATCTTGGACAATGATAAACGGCATTGATTTAAAATTGATGCTCTTAAGTCTACCTGATATTTTAAGAAAGAATTATAGAAGGCAACCTATAGTTACACTTTTTCTCAGAGTGTGTTTCCTCATCTGGAAAATAAAACAACTTCTAAAACAAATCAGTGTTAAATAGATTGATCTTTAAGGTCATTTCTTGCAATAATGGTCCATGGCCCTGTGGTTAATGTCTTCCTAATGTTATGTTCTTAAGTAAGTGGCTCCTCAGTGCTGAATTACTTTATATTTTCTCATTTTTTTGTTTCAGTAGCTTTACAGGTGCAGGTAGTTTTTGGTTACACGAATGAATTGTATAGTGGTGAAGTCTGGGATTTTAGTGTACCTAGTGTGCCTGTCACCTGAATAGTATACATTGTACTCAATAGGCAGTTTTTCATTCTTTACTCCACTTCCACCCTCCCGCTTCTGAGTGCTCAATGCTCTTTGTATCACTCTGTGTGCCTTTGTGTACCCATAGCTTAGATCCCACTTATAAATTAGAGCATATAGTATTTGGCTTTCTGTTACTGAGTTATTTCACTTAGAATAATGGCCTCCAGTTCCATCTGAGTTGCTGCTAAAGACATTATATCATTATTTTTTTATGGATGAGTAGTATTTCATTATATATATATTATATATATATATACACACACACACACACACACACAAACACACACACACATATACACTACATTTTCTTTATCTACTCAATGGCTGATGGGCACTTAGTTGATTCCATATCTTTGCAATTGTGAATTATGCTGCAATAAACATATGTATACAGGTTTTGTAAATATAGTGACTTATTTTCCTTTGGTTGGATATTCAGTAGTGGGATTGCTGGGTTGAATGGTAGATCTACTTTTAGTTCTTTAAGAAATCTTCATATTGTTTTCCATAGAGGCTGTATTAATTTACATTACTCCCAGCAATGTATAAGCATTCCCTCTTCACCACATCTGTGCCTATACTAATTGCTTTTGGACTTTTTAGTAATGGCTGTTCTTTCTAGGGTAAGATGGTATCTCACTCTGGTTTTAATTAGTGATTCATTATTTTATTGTATGGGAGGAACAATTTGGACATTTTAGGCAGAATCAATAACCTTCTGGTTTTAAAAACAAAGATCTTACAACATCCTATATTAATCCTCATTGGTGACCAAGAAGATCTTCCTGACACAGCTTGTAGAACTATAAGGCAAGATTTGACAAACTATGACCCACTGCTCAAATCTGACTCATGGCTTGAATTGACATGTCACAGGAGCTATGAATAATTTTGACATTTTTGAAAGGTGAAAGTAGTCTAATAGATGGAGGGAGAAGAAGAGAAGAAGAGGGAAAAGAAGTGGGAGGAGAAGCAGCAGTGGCAGAGGCCATATGTGGCCAATAAAGCTAAAACTAAATTCTATCTATCTATCATCAGCCTGCCTATAGAGAAAATAATTGCTGACCTCTGCACAGAGTATATTCATAAACAATGTCCAACTATGAGAACGATTGCATTAACATAACCATCAAAAAGCAAACAAAAATCCACCACTGCCAAAAAGGTCCCTATTTTTAAAATTTGAGATAAATTACTAGCCATTTGTATCTGTTTGCATGTGCCCAAAATGTCTTCTTTAGTTGTACACACAGTCTTTTGGAGAGCCCTGTTTTTCATCTCCAGCAGAAGGCAAAACTATTCCAGATATACTTAATCAGTTACCTCTAGTTGGTGCAAGTAATAAATGCCCCTGTTAGTTACAAGTCTATCACTGGCTTGTGAAACAGTCCTAACTCCTAGCTTTTCTCTCCGCTATAAAAACACAATGCTGATTTGTTATTAACCAAATAACTAGTACAAAATTCTAGGACAACCAACATATCAACCAAATCTTAGAAAAGAAACACGCTTGATACTTTTAATAGTTTCTGAAAATTTAAAGAAAAATCAATTGCTATTCTTATGGATAGGAAGACAAAGCTTCTTTGAAATGGTAGCCTGTGGGTTTTGTTTTGTTTGGTTTTTAACAGCTGTTTGTTTTTTCTTTTAATAGTTCCCCACCAACTTGCACATAACTCTGCTTTTCTTCATTTACTCCTTGGAAAAATTCCTCACCCAAACCTCTCACCTGCTCCCTTTGTTTCCTCCCTCCTGAGAAACGGGTGGGAATACCAGCAACTGCAATAAAATGCACAGACACATATGCACACACACACACCCACACCCACCACATGCACATTCCTCCTGCTCCGGTTCCTCTGTTTGCTTCCCAGCTGATCCAAGATATCTACTTATTGGTTTGTTTTCTTCTCTATCATAAAGACTGTGTATTCTACTCTTCTGAGCACTAAGTATTTCTATGAAAGATTTAAAAAAAATATTTCTTAGATTTTCAAACAGAATAAGGTGTTTATTCTTATTGAGAAAACACATTTAAGGATTTGTAAAAGAACAAAGCATATGGAAATGTCACTCTAGCAAATGGTCATATTCATTCAAAGAAAAACAACACACCAATGTCCAAAGACATGAGATGTCTCACTGAATTGAGCAAACTACAATTAAAAATCTAGCATTGCTGGATTCCAAAACGATCATATTTGGATCCATAAAATGAAGTATTTTCCTATTTCCCTGATTTCTAATTATTTAAAATTTAAGGAAAATCAGATTAGCAGTACTCTTACGCATACTCATAATTTTTCTATTAAAGTTTACCTTATCATTTAAAGATAGCCAGGACCTAGGGAGACATACTCATGCTACAATACAGAGTACACAGAGAATATGAGGAAGGGATAATTTTATTTTTCTTAGCCTAATAGGCTACTAACCCAATTTGTTGATACAAGTTTGTAAGGTATACACAGGCCACTTGAACAAAGAAAATGAAATTAATCACTAAAACATCAGTCAGGAGAAATGACCTTGAGTTAATGTTCCTTTTGAAAAAAAAAAAATTCAAACTTCTGGAGAATCATAAGAAGCTCCGGGGTGTAGGCACTGTTGTGCTTTTCTGAACCCCCAGTGAAGCCTGTGAATGTTACTCAATTCCACTATGGTGAGGTGGATTGTCTTACTGTTTCTACAGCTGCCAGGGTATTAAATTCTGACTGCATCCAATGCTGTGATCATCGTTCTGTGTCTAACCACACACCAGTCAAGTGTTGGATCTAGTGCTGGCAAAGGACCTTTCCTTCCTGGAGGCTGTTGGGCTCCGATAAGTACAAGTTTTCTTGTTCTCCAATTATCTGTCTGTCAGCCATGAGAGCTCCTCACCCACCACTGCTAACCTTCGTGGCTTGTTGTATAGATTCTGTATGATTTCCAATTAGGAACAATGTTTTAGAAGGGATATTAATCCTGCCATTTTAAAAGTCAAATCTTTGCTTAACAGAAAGGAGCGACACTTTCTTCTCTCTTTCTCTCTCTTTTTTTTTTTTTTTTTAGAGACAGAGTCTGGCTCTGTCACCCAGGCTGGAGTGCAGTGGCATGATCTCAGCTCACTGGAACCTCTGCCTCCTGGGTTTGAGCAATTCTCTGCCTCAGCCTCCCTCTTTTTTCTTTTAAGTGGGCGGTGGCAGGCACCACTACCTTCAAACTTTAAATAGGTATTAACCAATAGAAGACAGAGAAAATGAAGATAAACGGCTTGCACCTGTTCTTTACCATGCACTTCTCTTCACCATAATTTCAGCTATTGCCACTTGAGAATACCAGATTTTACCATTTACTTTGCATTGCCATGGAAAGGCAAACATATAGCAATGATTTACAAGAAATAATACCATAGATAATACCATATATATTTTTAAATGCCATTCATTTATTATTCAATCATTTTATATTTTTTAAAACTTGCCAAAATGTGTGCTAAATCATTATGGAAGTTTCTGTGTAGTGTTGCTAAGGAGGTGCCACTTATGTGTATATAAAATTGCTTATTAGTTTTTTAACATTTTATAAAATATTTTGAAAGAAACTTATTTTCTATTGTGTGTAAATTAACCTCATTCAAAATACTAATAATAATATTCCAAAAATAAAACATACACATAATCTTTATATAAATGTATATACACATTTTACAGACTATCCCATTTTTCACAAAAATGTATCTTCACTAATTCTTATTTTCCAAGAACAATGGGAATTTGATGTGAGTTCTTGTAAGTTATACAAATGTTTTATATGTTTCCTCAGTAATAACTATTTGTGTAGATTTTGAAAGTACAAATAAGAAAAATATTTATGAGGAATGCATTTTGAAACAGGAAACACACAAGAATGAAGAGAACAATCACTCGTGAATGTCCACCTATCATCATTCCTTTACAGTTCCAAAATCTTCCTAAGGAATAAAACCTGCCAGGTAAAACTTTCAGCTTCCAATAATAAGTCGCAAATACAGAAAGATGAACTCTATAAAAATAATTTAAAATAATATCAGAGTTAACATAAAACTGTTTTAAATATAAATTATGCCAAATTTTCTAGCAAAAAAATAATTAGTATAACACTTGGAAATAAGACCAAGATTCACATTGCCATTAGATTTTATATTGCAATTAGTGGCATGTAATTTGTGTAAATTGATGCCATGATGCTGTTTATGGTAATTTCCCTTATTTTTCACAAAATTTAAATCTGTAACACAAATTTAAATAGACTGGTTCTTTCTTAAAAAATGAAGTAAGGGTCAGGAGAGGTGGCTCACTCCTGCAATCCCAGCACTTTGAGAGGCCGAAGTGGGCAGATCATGATGTCAGGAGTTCGAGACCAGCCTGGCCAACATGGTGAAACCCATCTCTACTAAAAATACAAAAATTAGCCAGGCATGGAGGCAGGCACCTGTAATCCCAGCTACTCGGGAGGCTGAGGCAGGAGAATTGCTAGACCTGGGAGGCAGAGGTTACAGTGAGCCGAGATCGTGCCACTGGACTCCAGCCTGGGCGACAGAGCGAGACTCTGTCTCAGAAAAATAAAGAAAGAATAAAATAAAATAAACGAAGTAAGTAAACATATGGTGATGCTTGCTGAAAAGCACGTGAATGATTCTTGATGTCAGTAGTAGCCAGAATCCATAACTCTGTAGATTGTAGCTTTACTCACATTTATATATAATTAAAACTTTCTCTTGTTTTCAAGTATATGTTTAAAGAACAAAGAGAGGATTATCAATAAATTATACACAATTGAATTTCAAATGTCTGATAAAAGATAGCACCTGGCCATTTGGATTTTCCTTATAGGCAATTAGAAATAACAACAATAAACCTATTAACATTTTTCAGTACTTATGGTACGCCAGGCAATGTGTTAAGAGCATTATGCAAATTGCCTGTTTTAATTCACACAACAGTATAGGAGCAATATTAGTATCAATTGTATTTTACATAAAAATAAAATTAGGGCTTAGAGAAGTAAAGAAATTTCCCTAAGGACATATAGCTATTCTGTGATGGTCTTTCTCATACTAACATCCATTCTTCTAACCATAACTTAAATAAAGTTGGAAATAAATACTCAGACGTACAGAACGATGTTTACAATCAAACTGAAAAAAAAAGCAAAAAAAGAATGTTTTCAACATTTTTCCTAGAATTAAAATTTTAGCATTACTGCTGAATTTTCCTTTAATTTCAGATATTTTCCTCACCTAATTTAACTTGGCTTTCATAGGCATAGGCTATACATGTAAACTATGCTATAAGTTTTACCAATGAGAACTTTTGAGAAATATTATTAAATTCATTATGCATATAGCTAAAATGCATTTATGTTTTAAATACTACCCGTAGAGAAAATCACTGTAGAGCAGGAGAATGGAGTGTGGAAAACCAAGTCCTAATATTAAGAGGCTGCCTGATGTGTCTCAGAGCCTCAGCTACCACCCTGTATCCCAGGTGCTAGGGTTTAAATGTGTTTGTTCTCTCAAAAACTCATGTTGAAACTTAGTCCCCAGTGCAACAGGATTTGGAGGTGGCACCAGTTGGATGTGTTTAGGTCATCAGGGCTCCACTCTCATGGACAGAGTAATGTTACTATAAAAAGAGCTTGTGTAAGTGGGTTTGTTCTCTTCTGCTATGTGAGGAATGATCCTTACCTCCAGATGATGCAGTGTTCAAGGCACTACCTTGGAAACAGAGGTTTGTCCCTTAGCAGACAAGAAACCTACTGATGCTTTCATCTTGGTCATTCAAGTCTCTAGAGCTGTGAGAAATAAATTTATGTTCTTTATAATTTATCCAGTCTCAAATATTCTGTTACAGCAGCACAAAATAGACTAAGACACTAGGCTAACTTCATTCTCACATTTTTAGGCTTTGCCTTTTGCCTGGATTCTTCTAACAGAGCATCTATGACAAATCCTTTCATTTACTTTTTTTTTTTTTTTACATATGTGTATCTCCCTATACAATCTAAATTCCCACAGTAAATAGGCACAAAATTAGTGTCTTCTGTATTTCTCCCTGACAACCTGGTGCTTATCAAAGAGAAGTCATTCATATATTTTGTAAATGACTGACTGAATAAATGATAATTGGAATATTAGTAGTGGATTCTTAATTTGAAAGACTTTTGAAAGAAATAAGTTTGTAAGCCCCTTCTGTAACCATGAGCCTAATATTACAAGTCAGTTGAGAAAATAGAGTATGTGTGCGTGTTTACAGACTTGAAGCCTAAAATTGAGGATATTATCTGCTCTTTAAATATAATAAGCATAAATGTATAAAAGTAATGTACTCACCACTCAGCTCAAGAAATAAAGCATTTCTTTTATATTTGGAAACCGGTTTCCCCCTGCTCCTGCACAGAACTAACCTTTAATTTTAAATTATAGGTTTACCTTTTCCATAAATTTCTTTACATTTTTATTACATCTTAATATAGCTCTAAAAATTATAATATTGTTTTCTGTATTAAAAAACTTTAGAAAAATAAGGCCAGACTATGAATTATGCCTTTTAACCATTTTATAAGCCTCATTGATACTTTATGTGTAGCCATAACTAATGAGATCAAATTAAAATGATCAAAATAACCCAGCATAGAATTAGTACTTGAGCAATTGAAAGAGGCCAAATGAAGAGATAATCAGAAGCAGTTAGGGTTCTTCAGCTGTATTTGCACCTGGTTCTTGTATAGATGGTGGTTATGGACTAGCAAACAGAAAGAAGGGTCAACTCCACGAAGCATGAGGGGCAAAGTGGGGAGCCATTGTGATTTCAGTGACTTGAAAACTGGGAAATGGAGGGTAATTTTTTCTGTGACTTATAACTTATTGACCCCATACTGAAAATGAAGCACACTGCATGGTAATGAAGAATTAGTTGTGAGCCTTTGAGGTAAGTGAGAAGAGTTTAAGTATTGGAGAAGATAGAGAATTGTGTCATGGAGATCAGTCATTAAGAGTGTTCATTAAGTTAGGTATCAACCATGGAAACCATTGCTACGGTAGTAGCTGAATCAAGATAGGGAGGGATAAAACCAAGAGATAATTGTAGAGAAAAATAAAGCATATTGATTAATCTCCCTTACAAGAAGGGTGAAAAAAAAATATTAGCGTTAACACCCACATTAATGTTCCAAACCTGAAAATGAAGGTTTCTCCTTTTAAACCATAAATTATGTAAACTGAGGAAACTATCCCAATTAATAGAAAACCTTATTTCTTGATGACGAAGGATATAAATAATTGGGAATTAAAGGAAGCTCAAAGACGGAACTGTTTCATCTTATATCTTAACTCTCTTTGGACTCTGTGAGGGCTTTGTGGATGTGTAGGAAGGGAAGAACAAAAGTAAACAAAAAGGAGGAAAAAACCCCAGAGTGCAGCAAGCTCTCTGGAATAGATTAATTTATTCAACGGCAAAACCAAAAGTATGAGATAAATGAGCTACCATCTCTACCCCATCAGCACTGGTTCAAAAATCTAGCTAATCTACAACTTGGATTTCTTTAAAGAATTTAATTTGTCTGTGGCCAACTTAGTCTGACTGCTTCAAGCATGACATTCTTAAGGTCAAAGTCTTGGATTTGAAGCTTCTACAGAATAATTAACTTTGCTCTAATCTGTGGTCACAGCTCATATCCCAAACCCTGACAAATTGTCTTTGTTCCTAAGAGGAGACCAGATGAAAGAAGAGGACTGTGAGAACAACAACCCAAAAGCACACTCAATGGACAGAGATCACTAATGCCATGTTTATTTATAAAAGATGCAATTTAGACACAAAACTTTTATTATGTATTTTAAAATAAAAATACGAAAATTGATATAAACTATGTTGTCACATTGGATACTTCTAAATTAGTGAACTGAAAAAATAAACTGAAAGATAAAAAATTAGAATAATCTAAAAATATTATTTACCATAATCATATATGATTAGAACAATGACAGTTAAATAATATAATTGATAGTTACACAAAATAAACCACAGGTTATATATTTGCTTTTTTTCAGAAGGTTAGTATAATGTTTGATATTGAAAGTTAAAGGATTTTACCTCAATTTTGTTGTAGTTCACTTATTTTTGCTTTATTTATATTCATAAAGTTATTAGTGTTGCTTAAAGAGACTGGAAAATCTAGTATTCATTCCAGAGTAAACTGGGATTATTTAAAGATTATTTTCATGCTTGAAAGTCAGATAAAATGAGTTTTAAAACTATATTTCCATTTAGAAATAAGTATTTGTGTGTGTGTGTATGTAAGTCTTTGCCCTCAAAGAATTCTTTTTTGCTCTCTAGTAGTATTTTGGTACTTTTCTCTGATAAATCTTCAATTTTAGAATATTTTGTACATTGTTCTTCATTCTAACCAATTATTTTGTAATTTTAAAACAATCAGGCATTTTTCTATTTAATCTGGTTGCTTTAAAAATAAAGTGGAAAGGCTAATGTGTGGCACATTTTTGTATTTTCTTTTTTGTAACCAACTTGTTTATGCATATCATGTTTGTCGTGCAATTTACCTATAAAACTATTCTCTGGGTTTCATAATAAAATATTTATATACTGAATATATTCTTCTTCCACATAATCTTACCTCTTTATCCTGGCATCTCTTAGATTGTGTATCTATCAGATTTAAAATAAAAATGTTTCTTTTTCAAAATAAAACAAATTGCTATTATGAAACAACTTTTATTCATCTACCTTTTCTCAAGTCTAGAGAGTAAGTGAAAAATGAAGATACCCTTCACCATGCTTGTGAACTCATTATCTTGTCAACATCATTGTAAACTAAGCTGATGAAAAGTTAACCCTAACTGTGGAGAAGATCTGGCTAAGATGCAAGAAGCATGGCAGATTCAGAGATCTAGGTCTGGACAAATTAATGTAGAGGTCACCAAATGTATCCCCAGGTGACTGAATAAAGAAAATGTGACATATGACATATATATATATACCATGGAATTCTACACAGCCATGAAGAGAAAGAAATGTCTTTCGCAGCAACACAGATTTAGCTGGAAGTGATTATTCTAAGTGAAATAACTTAGAAACAGAAAATCAAATACCATGTGTTCTCACTTTTAAGCGGGAGCTAAACAATGGGTATATATGGACATTCTGAGGGAAACAGTAGACAATAGGGACTCCAAAAGGGGGAAGGGTGGAACAGGAGTGAGGGTTGAAAAATTACCTACTGAGTACAATGTTCACTATCCATATGATGGGTACAGTAGAAGCCTGAATCCCACCACTACACAATATATGCTTTTAACAAACCTGTACATATACCCTCAGAATTGGCTAATTAAAAAAAAAAATTAAAAATATATTTCCACGGATTTTAAAAGATGCATGTTATTCCTTAAACAGGTTTAGCTTCTATAAAATTGCAAAGGTAATAGAGAATTCCTGTATAACTAATTTCCAATTTCCCCTACTATTACTTCTATTAGTATGGCACATCAGTTACAATTAATGAACCAATACTGATAGATTATTATTAACTGAAGTCTATACTTTATTCATATTTTCTCAGCCTTTACCTAAGGTCCTTCCCATCCCCCACTGGGATCCAATCCACAATACTGCATTACATTTAATTATCATGTATGCTTAGGTGCCTCTAGACTATGACAGTTTCTTAGATTTTTTCCTTATTTTTGTTACCTCAATAGTTGTGAGAAGTACTTGTTAAATATATTATAGAATGTTCCACAACTGAGGTTTGTCTGATGTTTTTGTCATGTTTTTACTGGAGCTATGTGCATTTGGGAGAAAAATCACAGAGATAAAGTGTCACTTTGGTTATATCATATCAAGAATACATCCTGTCAATATGACTTATTTCAGTTGCTGTTGACCTTCATTACTTGACTAAGGTAGTGTATTAGTTTGCTAGGGTTTCCATAACAAAGTACAACTTACTGGATGGCTTAAACAACAGAAATGCATTGTCTCTCCCTTATGGAGCCTTGGAGTCTGACATCAGGGGTATGTAGGTTATTGTCTTTCAATTATGGGGGCCAGAAATCCAAGACCAATGTCTCAGCAGGTTTAGTTCCTTCTAAGGGCTGTGAAGGAGAATTTCTTTCATGGCCCCTCTCTCAGCATCTAATGGTTTGCTGGTAATCTTTGGCATTCCTTGGGTTGCAGATGCATTACCTTGATCTCTGCTTTTATCTTCACATATGATAGAGAAAGAAGAGCTTGGAAGCGAACACATTAGATATTAATAATATTTATATCTTCAGTTAGAAACAACAACAACGATAGTATATTACAAGAGGATTTCACAAATTCTCAATACCACACAGTCCCACCTTTCTTCTTGTTGCTGTATGAACAGTTTAGGCTCCTATTTAAAGCAAAGTAATCACTTCTCTCTCCTATTCAATGATTTAATTCTGGAAAGTTTTTTCATTCTCTCCTGCATCACAAGCTTTTCCCTTAGCACTGTCATTCCTTGCCACCATCCTAGCCTAAGTCATAATCATCTCTCTCCTGGAAGACTACAATAAGCTTCTAACTGGTTTTCCTACTTCCACCTTTGTCTTCTCATATTCTAGTCTGAAGAAAGCAGTAAGATCCTTAAAAAATAGCCATCAGAACATGTCTACTCAAAAATCCTCTAGTAGCTCCCCATTTTGCATAGAGTAAATGCCATAGGCCTAAAAGTCCTTGCATAATTGACTCCCCTTTTGGCTCTCTGACCACAACCTTCTTATATGTATTAGTCCATTTTCATGCTGCTGATAAACACATAACCAAGACTAGGAAATTTACAGGAGAAAGAGGTTTAATTGGACATACAGTTCCACATGGCTGGGGAAGTCTCACAATCATGTCAGATGGCAAGGAGGAGCAAGTGACGTCTTATGTGGATGGCCGCAGGCAAAAAATGAGAGAACTTGTGCAGGGAAACTCCCCTTTTGAAAACCATCAGATCTCGTGAGACTTACTCACTATCACAAGAACAGTATGGGAAAGACCTGCCCCCATGATTCAATTACGTCCCACCGAGCTCCTCCCACAACACGTGGAAATTCAAGATGAGATATGGATGGGAACACAACCAAACCATATCACTATTCTTTTCTGCACTGTCGCCCAGGCTGGAGTGCAGTGGCATGATCTCTGCTCACTGCAACTCCGCCTCCCAGGTTCAAGTAATTCTCCTGCCTCAGCCTCCTGAGTAGGTGGGACTACAGGCACCCGCCACCACACCCAGCTAATTTTTGTATTTTTAGTACAGACAGCGTTTCATTATGTTGGCCAAGCTGGTCTTGAACTCCTGACCTTGTGATCCGCCTGCCTTGGCCTCCCAAAGTGCTGGGATTACAGGAGTGAGCCACCACACCCAGCCTACTACTCTTTTCCTCTCTCAGCCTTCCCTATCCAGCAGCCTCTTTTCTATTCCCTGACCACACCAAGAACATTGGTGTTTCTGGACCTTTACACTTGCTATTGTGCACAATTCAGTATGTTAGCTCCATCAGGTCTTTGCTCAAATGCAACTTTCTCAGTTAGATACATTCTGTCCATACTGCTTAAAGGTAAAACCACCTGCTTCTGAAGTAGTTTCCATTCCACTTATTTTTCCTTATATTCATAACATTTTTCACTTTTTAACAGGCAATATACTCATTATTTTTATATGAATTTTCAGTCTCTTTTTATTTAAATATGAGCTCCATAAGACAAAGAATTCAGTGTGTTAAGTTTATTTATATACATGATGAACTAGACAAGTGTAATACACTTAGCAAAGTTTCAACAAATTTTTTAAATAAATTACTTTATATAATAATGATAATAGCTAACACCTTGAATATTTTTCATGTGCTAAATACTCTTTTAGGTTCTTTATACACATGAACATGTGTTTAATACTGAAAACTACCCTATAATATAGGTACTATTATATTCTCATTTTATAAACCGAGTAACAGGCAAAATTTCCAAAGCTAATAAATGGAGGGACCAAGATTACTGGTTACTTTCTTATTTATCTTATTTACTATCAACAAATTTTACATTGAGTATGTATTTATTTTATTATACAAAATAATTAAAATGTTACTCCACTACTCCTCTAAAGTTGCCTCACTTAATAATTCCTTACAAAATATATTAGTTTAAAATCTGTAATTCTTTTTCTTATATTGATCATTTAAATGTTTATTTTTATATATCTTTTATTACTATAATGAGCTGCTGTAGTTATAACTACATTAAATATGTGTGTGTGTGTCACTCACAAAATTTAATATATCTGCAGTGCTCATTTACTGAATGTCTTTAATAAATATTAGGTGATAAATATTTGGGTTTATCCAACTTAGATAAGAATGTATATGTGTGTGCATTTTAAAGATAATTATCTGTTTTTTTGGCAGGAAGAGTAAGTAATATTTATTAATACATTGGCTTTTGTTTTTTAAAATTTAACTGTAGCAAGCTGAAGGCCTTTAGCAAGCTAAAATATCTCTAAGCAGCCCCTTAAAACTTGTCAACAAAATAATACTGGGCAATTATTTTGTTCTATTTTTAAAGACATCATATAGAGGTTAAGCAATTCTCTTGAAAGCAGAACATTTACATACTGTATTTTTAATTAAGCATATTTAATTACCTGTGAAATTTACCCCTAAAATTTTTGTGAATGTATATATGGTTCAAAAGCTATCAACCTGAAGATTCAAAGGCAAAGGACCAACTAGTTTTTCATTTAAAAAAAATACCATAAACCTTTACAATGACAGGCTACAAAATGGCCTAGTGATATGTAACTATCATCATTATTTAGATGAATTGAATAATGGAAGTTAATTAGGAATCAGCACAGTGTAAGGAAAAGCAAAATTTTGATTAGTCTTCAGAAATCAAAATTCTATAGCAAATTAATCTCTGACAATCCATCTCACCAAACTAAATAGAAGTTAAATGTTATTTTATTCATTATATGGGCACCATATTTGTTCATTTTGTGTTGCTATAACAGACTATAACAGATTAGATACTTTATAATGAACAGAAATTTATTGATTCATGGTTCTTGTGGCCGCAAACTCCAAGATCAAGGTGCTCACATCTGGAAAGGGCCTTTTTGTTGCATCATCCCATGGCAATTAGGCAAAAAGAGGGCAAGAGAGAGAGAGAGAAAGAGAGAATAAAAGGAAGCTGAATTCCTCCATTATGGCAAACCCACTTCCTTGACAACAGAATTAACCTATTCACTCTGCTCTTATGGCTCGCTCACCTCTCATTAAGCCCTATCTCCTGACACCATAGCTTTGAGGATTAAGTTTCCAACATATGCATTTTTGCGAGACACTTACAAACCATAACAAGCACTTATTAAGGGAGACAGATCTGTCATAGTATTAATCTATGCTTCTCTGGGGTGTGTGTGTGTGTGTGTGTGTGTGTGTGTGTGTGTTTATGTTGTCATGAAATAAGTCTCCTATATCAGTGGTAGTTTTTATAAAACAATAAAAACTAAAATGATTTAGTAATTGACAAACTGACATAATTTTTTCCTTGTTAGCATGATTACTAAACATGAGACAGAAATTTATGAAGATAAAGAAGTTAGCAAAAGACTGGGGTGATGTAGCTTTTAACGTACTATGGTGCACAGATACAGAACTTTCTTAAATAGTCCTACTTCTCTAGTACACTCACTCTGGGCATTATTTCTCCACTGAATTTGCATGCACCTTCTGTGGTAGATAGAATGATTACCATCATTACTTTCTTTCTCTGTATGTATATTCTGCTTCTCATTTGCTTGAGGGTTAGCCTTAGTGAGTTGTTTACACAACAGAATGCAGTGGATGTAATATTCTTGATATTCAAAGACTAGGTCAACAGAAGCCTTTAGCCTTCCACCTAGGCCCTTGAATGCTTATTTTTGGGATGTTTCCGCTTAGAAACCAGCTTTCATGTTGTGAGAAGTCAAAGCCACGTAGAGAGACCATGTGTCACTGATCTGGTAAACAACAAGGATGAGCTCCTAGGCAATAGCATAAACTGACAGGAATATTAATGAGCCATCTTACATATCTAGTGCATTGGAGCCTTCAGACCACTCCAGCCCCAGTTTCCAATTTATTGTAACTTCATGAGAAATCCAAAGTGACAATAAACCAGCCAAGACCAGTCAATCTGCAAAACTGTGAGGAATCACAGTAAATTGTTATTTTAAATCACTAATCTGGGATTTTCCCCCATAGCAATACATAATTATAACAAATATTAGTGCCAGAAGTGGAATGCTACTGCTTTGTTTTTAATGTGCCCTCCAAAGCTCACAGTGAAATTTAATTGTCATTGTGATGGTATTAAGAGGTAGAACCAGTATGAGGTGAATAGACCATAAGGGCCCTGTCCTTATGAGTGAATGAATGTTTTATCCAGAGATTGGTTTTGTTATCAGGAAAGTGGGGTTGTTGCAAAAGGAAGTTCAGTCTCTTTCTGTCTTGTTCTTACCCATGCTCTCTTGTCCTTCCACCTTCTGCTATAGACGCTGTGGCAATGAGGCCTTTGCCAGGCCTTTGCTATTTTGATATTGAATTTTCTAGCCTGAAGAATTGTGGGAAGCAAATTTCTTTACTTTATAAATTACCCAGTCTGTGATACTTTGTTATAGCAACACAAACAGACTAAGACACATGACAGCACAGTCTTCAAACATGTGGCTATGACTTTCAGCCTAAAGATAGGCACAAACTGGAGGGACCTCAAAAAGATTACAGTGGACTTGAAGGACATTGAGAAAAATTTATTATAGAGTAAAGATACCCATTTTATATAGTATCAAAATATTTGACAACTCTATTACCTGGGATTAAGTAGAAAACATAAAATATACATAATGAATTGATGGATTTGTTTAAGGAGATTTCCAGAACCATACAAGTAACAGTTTTTGAAAGCCTTGTGTGATCAGATACAGATAAAGAGAGACAGTCTAAAAAATGAATTGTTCCATTTCTAGACAAATTTAGAGAGAAATAGAACAAAACTTGGATATATTGGGTCAAAAACTAAACTGTTTCTCATTCTCAAAGGCTCAACAAGACAAAAGCTTTTAAAATAAGGAAAAAACCCAGGGTGAAGACTAAATACAAGGTGTTTGCAACAAAATGAGGCCTCAAGGTAGTAATGTTCAGCTTGAGGGTATAGTTTTAAGACCTTTTATTAAGACCTCAGAAACATTTATGACAGTCCTATGTGCACCGTATCAGCTAGACAAATAGACTTCTAAAAATATTAAAGGTACACGTTCCAGAAATTTTCAGCTGGTAAGTCTAATAATCTTGTCTCTTTTAGATTCACTTTCTAGCCAGGAAGATTTCTAAAACCTCAAGGGCACTGTACCATAGCACCATGACTCTCAACCCTAGCCAGAAAAGAATCCTGTCTCAAATAAATTATTGGGTATTTCTTTAGTAAACTAAGTGGAAACCCAGTAATATTTATAGGAAATTCCTCCCATTTTAGAAGTATAGAATTAACAAAAAGTTATCACTTTGGAGTAAAAAAAGACAGAGACCATTTAAAATGAAAACTTTCATAGTCCCAATCTTCTATGAAGAGAAAGAAAAATGAGACTACTTAGCTGCAAACACAGGTAATATCTTGTGGATGACTCAGGTTTCTTGGCCAATACTCAAGAGAATGGAGTCAAGATCCATGGAGAGTCATTCCTAGGGAGTAGGATTTAACCTAACTAGACAAGTGATTATGTATGTTATGCTGGATTTCAGAATTGTTATGGACTAGTGATGGCTATGTGCCAACCTGTCCTTTCCCCACTCTTGAAGGGGGTGTGTCTACTGCAATTATATTGTATTTGTATCAGCATTTAATATTGAGTTCATGATGGGGACTGATAAATTATCCTCTAGTTAACAGATTTTGAGATTGAGAGGAGTCACACCTGATGACTTGGATCCAATTTGTTGAGATTCTGGATTTAGAACCAGTGTTGTAATGGGATGAGTTTCAAGCTCTTTCTTAGAGAATTAATGGATGTTGCATGTGGAAGAAACATGAATTATGGTTCCCATAGCACAGTCTGTGGAAGATAGTCTCGAAGATGCTTACCCTTGCTATATATGCCTACTGCTTCTCACATCCGGAGCTCAAATTCCATATTACCCTAAATCTGGACTAGTTTTAGTGACTTATTTGACTAATAGAATATGGTGAACGTAACATTCTGGGGACAAGTTAGAAATGCCTTGCAACACTCACTTGGGTCTCTTGAAAAGCTGACTCTTGGGATGCATCCTTTTAGAAACTACCTACCACACTATGAGAAGCACAACCGCAAAGTGTAGCCACTCTATTGAACAACACATCTTTGCTTTAGTCAAGAGCAATAATCAAATATCAGCCATGAAAATGAACTATCTTGGATACTGAGCCCTTATATGAATCTAGCCCCAGCCTCTGTCTGACTGCAATTTCATGAAATACCATAAACCAGGACTTTCCAGGTAATCCTGTCTACAAGCAGAACTATGAAATGTTCTAAAATAGTAATGTTTTAAAACAGCACATGTTGGGATGGTTTGTTTGCAACATCAGATAACTAAAACACCATCGCGGTAACAATTTTATAAACTACCTTGATACAATAACTTAACAATCAGGACTGATAATTGAAGCTACCTGTGTCAACATGACTTAGCTATTTGCTCCTGGAAATTCATGTACAGGAGATTAGACTGTACATCATTAAATAACTTATCTATTTGCTTTAGGAAATCCCTCCAAACAAATAGTTTCTCGTATAGGCAAAAAAAGGCTCTTGTATCAGGACAAGAGCAAGTGATCACCTGTACTAATATCTCAATTATTAAATAACTCTTTATTTATCAAAAGTCATTTAAAAGCACTTGCCTTGACATGTCCAGCAATTCTAAACTATTATGTCATCCATTTTGTCCATCCAATCAATTCCCACCAATAATAACTTTATCCAAGACAGCAAAACCTTATACATATTGTGCCCTGATCTTCCCCTCTGAGACACTACTAAGAGTTTGTCAATATATCTATGTATTAAGATGGCGTTTTCCCTTATTGTAGTAGTCCTAATAAAATTAGTTTTGCTTGATCAATGGGTTTTTTAGTGACTTGGAAAATCAGCAATCAAGAATTATAACTGTAAATTTACAGTTAACAACTGTGTTTCAGGATGTTACACTGACACCATTTCTGTCTTAATTTCACTGGGGACTTCAAATGCTTATAAAATAAAATAGCTGAAAACTATCCTTTCATACTGAATTTGAGGCTAAAAATCCACAAATCTGATTTTGTAGCTTAAGTTTTATATATCTCCAGTTTATTAAGAAGAGAATTTAGAAAAGCCCTAAAGGAGAATTCCCTTAGAGAAAGCTTTTGAGTACCGTAGTTTCCCTTTCCCGGTACTCACATCTATACTTTTATATTAATCCTTTTCTCAATAAATAATACACATTTTTACAGGAAAAAAATAGCGGATTATTTCTTACATTCTGATATAGCTTCCAGGATATTAAAAATGAAACTATAAACATCGATGAGCTTATTATCTTTATCCTCATCCATGTATCCTAAACCTACTATTTCAGACAGAAAAAAAATGCTACAAAATGTGTTGCTCCCATGCTAATAATAAGAATCCAAATATTCTACAAAATTATAACCTTTTTGAATCCATCAGAGCCTTAAATTCACAAGGAAACCAAGTGACCTGAATTCCAAGAAGGAATAAAAACCTACAAGAAGATATAAATTCATAAATTGTTTCACCAATGGCAGAAAAAAGAAGAAAGACATTCCACCTACCATGTAAATTGTAAGACAACATCAGAAAACCATATAACAAACAAAACACAAGGCAGATATATAAGTCCAGAATATTAAGGGGCTCCAGACACAAAAAATGTTTCCATTCTCTCTCAAGCTTTTCCCCGTGGTTTCTATCAAGTGCTCATGAGCAAAATTGGGACCAGGATAATAAACCAGGAAGAGCTTATCCATGAAGAGGGAATGCAGGAAGTGATTGATGACTTTTAAAATACTGCACACGTCTGTGGATTCTACTTTCATATGAGACAAAGGCCTAAGCTTCTTTGGGAGGGGCAGTGAACATGCTTATCCATAGAGTAAGTAGAGTGACAAGTGGTAGCACAGGGAATAGATGTAAAGTCCTCCTCCCTTTCCAGGACTCTTTCTTCTGGTAAAATAATAACTTTAGATATCTTGGATAATGACAAATGTTTACAGATAACAGGTTAAGTTGGCCTGCCATGAAGAGGTAGACTATCTATGCTGGAAAACTTCTACTCCAAGGTCCAGATGCATATGGCTTCCCTAAGACTGAAGTGAGGCCAGAATAACAGAACATTTCTAACCACAAAGTTGGCACATGTTAACAAGCAATAACAATCAACCATTGGGGAGGGACAAGAATGTGGAGCTATATTTTTCTGTTGTGTAGGTATGCATGCATGGTGAAAGCTGAAGATAGAGCACAAACACTGAAAAAATTTGTATGGCATCCCAATTCTACCCTATCCCAAATAAGGCAATGAAAGTTGATTAGTAGAGGAATTGAGCCTATAATTTACTGACAGTAACTTTAGAGACAAAACTAAATTTCAGCTCAATTTCTAACTAGATTGATTCAACACTCCACACTGATGACCTATAGAAGAAAGAGGAATGTTCATATTCAGGTTAAATATTATTTACTTCAGTCTTTATTAAACTATAAACAATGTTTGGCATTTAATAAAACTTATAATATATACAGAAACATATGAAAACATGAGCTATTGCCAAGTGATAAGTAATTAACAGGACCAGATTCAGATATGACTCAGATGTCAGACTCCAAGGTGACTACAATGTCAGGACTTTAAAAAACTATGATTAACATATTAAAGGACGTAGTGGAAAAGATTGACAATATGTATGAATAAATGAGACATTTTAGTAGGGATATGGCAAATATAAGAGGAAGCCTAGCCTAATGGAAATGCTAGAAAAAACAAGCAAGCAAACAAACAGACAAAATTACTACCTTAGGGATAAAAACAAAAACAAAAACACCTCTTTAAATATGTCCATCACAGTTACACAGACTTGACACAGCTGAGAAAAGATTCAGTGAACTTTCAGATATTTCAATAGAAGTAACCAAACTGAAGTGTGAAGAAAAAAATATGGGGTAAAAGAATCAAAATAGAATATATAAAAGCTGTGGAATAACACAGAATAGCCCAATATGTATAGTTTGATACGGCACAAAGAGAAGAAATAGAGAATGAGGCAGGTAAAATATGTGAAGCGATAATGACTGAGTTCTCCAAACATAATAAAAGATCCAAGAAGCTCAGGGAAATCTATAATAAATAGAACAACAATAACCACCAGCACTACAACAAAAAGAAATATCTTGATATATTAGAGTCAAACTGCTGAAAAGTAAAGGGAAAGGGAAACATTTGAAGGAGCCAGAGAAAAATAACACACAATGAACAGAAAAATGTAAAGAATTACAGAATACTTCCTATGAGAAACTATGCAAGCCAGATGACTCTGGAATGATATTTCAGTAGTATGAAAAGCAATAAACCCACAACCCAAAATTCTATATCCAGTGAATAAACCTTTCAACAACACAAGCAAGTTAAATATTTTTTCAGACCAAAGAAAATGAGAATTTTTTTAATAGCAGACCTGTGCTATAAAGAATGTTCTTCACACTGAAGAAATATGGTATCAGAAGATTTATCTATACAAAGAAATGAAAAACTGAAGGAACAGTTATAATAAAGGTACATATATGTACCATTATGTATCACTTTTCACCGTTACAAGTCCTTTTGTCTTTACCTCTTTCTTCTCCTTCTGGAATATCAAATTACATGAAGGAAAGAGGAGCTCCTAGATAAATTATTCTTATTTTCTCCTCATTTCTACATAATAATTACCAATTCCAAAGCTGTCCTAAGTAGTCTTTTATTTGTCTTTTTGGAAGAGAATAGCGCCAGATGGAGCAATCAGCCACATTCGATACAGGTGATGACCAGTTTGATAGTACATCCTAAAGAGGCTTTCTTTTTTCCTCATTACAATTTCCCACTTTATCATTTATGCAGACTAAGATTTTACTTCATAAAAAAGTAGGAATATATTATTTACTCATCCCTGATTTCTGTGGAACTTGTAATAGACACTGGGCAACTGTAGGATTATTAAATAAACTGCACTGCCTAGTGGTATACAGTTGTACACAGAGGTAGGCTTCCTCTACATTTTTCCCATCATTTTGCTAGCTTTTCTCTTGACTGAAATATGCTTATGCAGTCTGACATAGTTTAGATGTGGTCCCACCCATATTTCATGTTGAAATTTCCAGTGTTGGAGCAGGGGCCTGGTGGGAGGTGTTTGGGTCATGGGGGCGGATCCCTCATAGCATGATGCTGTCCTTGTGACAGTGAGTGAGTTCTGGAGAGATGTGGTTGTTTAAAAGTGGGTTGCACCTCCCACTCCCAACTCTCTCTCTTGCTTCTGCTCTTGCCATGGGATGTGCCTGCTCACACTTCACCTTCTGCCATAAATAAAAACTTCCTGTGGCTTCCCCAGAAGCTGAGTAGATGCCAGCACCATGCTTGTACAGCCTGCAGAACTGTGAGCCAAGTAAACATCTTTTCTTTATATATTACCCAGTCTCAGGTATTCCTTTATAGCACTGCAATAATGGCCTAACACAGAGTCTATACTAATGATAAAATATAAGCTCAGAAAGAAAGAATTTATCATAGTGGTAATGATAAATTACCACTCAAATGCTACCCTGCAGAAGTTACTTCATATGACATCTACAAGAACCATGTTGCATATCAGAAGTAAAATTATTATTGGTAAAGAGAATAAGACTACTATGACCCATTTAGATAAATAATGATTCCTTCCTGGGCATTAAATAAGTGATCATTTCCTGTGAAACTTATGAAGGATGTGGGTGAAACCTAAACAAAATCATTTGCTTAGGAAGGAGAAATGTGTCTTCTTAGATTTAAATCAGCAATTACGTTTTCTTCCTTCTTGGTCCAAGAGTTAGTGTAAGCTCCTTTTTGAAGGTTGACAGATAATTCAGCATATAGAAAGCAAGCAGAATTTTTTAAATTTGGAGAGCTAGGCTGAATATATAACACAAAAAAACCATCTATCTACTAAGTAAACAGTCCAATTCATTGGAATTTTGCAGTGTATACTAGGAAGAGGCAAAGCTTCTTTGGCAGTAACAACTTGTCTTAAAGTGATCACTAAGCAAATATGGAAGCAAAGATTGATGATGCCATGTGTCTTAAATGAGGAATTTTATCAAACTGGGATAGACTATAATGGAACATAAATAATATAGAAAGCAAATAATAGAATAAGATAAGCAGAATACAACAATAGGAATTCAGACCAAATCAAAACAACTTTCTGCAACTTGTACCTCATCCTTAGAAGTAGAAGAAACTTAAATGCTGCTGAGTAGAGTTATGTCCTGGCTAGTGCTATATCCAATAT
Source organism: Homo sapiens (assembly GCF_000001405.40). Lineage (NCBI taxonomy): Eukaryota > Metazoa > Chordata > Mammalia > Primates > Hominidae > Homo > Homo sapiens. The sequence goes on from NC_000006.12 coordinate 93,600,505, forward strand.
ATTCTTATTCATTAGTAGGCTCGGGCATTTTCTCTCTGTCTCTCTCCTTTCTTTTTCTCATTTGTTCTATCCACCCTTCAACCTCCACCTTCTCTCTGTCTCTGTCTGTCTCTTTTGGACTGTCTCTCTCCTTCTCTGTCTCTGTCTTTCTCTCTCTCTCTCTCACATACACACACACACACACACACACACACACACACACACACACACACAAGTTTATGAAATCTAGAGTATTTACCTGGCAGATATTTGGACTGAGTGAAAATTATAATTTTATTAAAATGATCATATCCTTACAAAATATTTCACTGACAAAACATATTCTATCTAAGTGTTAACACGTTACAGTGGCACAGTCCTTTTTTACAACCACCACTGCTACAATTGCCTAGTGTGCTATATTTGCCTTTGTGGTATATACACATTGCTAAGTACCATAAGCATGCCATCAAAAATGTCTTATGGCCTATTTTTTCCTCTGTCAAGGTTTATTTTTTTCTCTTCCATTGGTCAATATTTCTCTCTTTTTAATTTCCATTAAATTTTTATTCATGTGTATTGTTCACTTATCTTTCTTACTTCAGTTGTTTTTAAATTTGACAGACTAAAAAGCCATTATAATCTTGAAGTTAATAACTCAGAAAAGGGCATGACTTTAGAATTTGTACTTTTATTATAGTAATATCTTATGCTTTAATGCAGCTAAATATACAAGCAACTTATTTCTAAATGGAAATAAGTTTTAAAATGGTAGTATAACCAGGGTTTGAAATTTCTCCAGTACAAAATGACAAAAAAGTAATTAACTTAATATCTTCATTCCTCAAAAATCTTTTATGTAATGCCTTGCTGTTATTTATTTTCTTCACAGAATTGTATACTTTAAATAGTTAATCATAAAATTTCTATAGATTTTAAACAAGTGTTCTCTTCCAATTGTCTAAACCATTGAGATTAAGGCTACATTATGCCATTCAGATCAATCATTTAAAACAGAAATTTATACTAACAACCTCAGGATGATGAATATTACATGTAATAATAGTTGCCTATTCATATTTGCTACTTGCCTTTCTTAACAATAATCTTATTCCATACAATCAATAATTAGCACGTTTGTCCCACAGACACACTGTATACCTAGGTTACAGTTTGATACATGAGGCTGTTGTGCCTCAGTGTTTAAAGAATGAATGAATGGATTAATAAATGACATAGGTATAAGTTGGTATGTCTATAATCCATTGAATGTTGTATACTGTATCTATAGTAAAAGCTTTGCTATGTTAAAAAAAAAAAAAGTCTTTCTTCCCCCTGATGCCAGGGGCAACTTGATTAGTTTTATATAACTACATTTTTTTTTTCATTTCATCCACTTTCATTTGATATTGGGTGTTATGAGATAAGGTCTAAAATTAAGGTCTTAAATTAATAGGATCTCTCTGACCTAGATCCATATTGTTTCTCTGTGATTTTTTGAATTTTTCACCTATTCACATCATATTTTCCTAGTGTTTCACCTCTTTCACTTAAGCTGTGATGGTTAGTTTGCTTAAACTGATGCAAATCATTACAAGTCAACATGGACATGAAATGATGGGCAGGATAGACCGAATCTGGACAAACCGACTCAACATGTGTCCTAACTCACCCCCAAATTGTTCCTTAGTTTTTCCTTTAATATCATTATACTTTGTTTCTTGAAAAGGATGGAACTCTAAATAATGAGGGATCTACATACATTATTAGGAAAAACAGTTTGTTTAGTAGAATTTTACAGGAATGCCCTGCTGCTCGATGGAGAATTCTTTGATTTCAAAATTTTCTGGTGGAACCACCGATTATGAAATAATTGCTAATAAATATTTTTTATCATAGTAAATATTCTCATCTGTGATAAAAATACTTTAAAATGCCTTCCTCTATAGTGAGAAATTTTAGCTGAAAATAATTTATGGTAAAATTATATATAATTAATATTCACTTCAGATGTAATTTCATAATTTATATGTTTTCAATTTTCAAAATGTTATAGGTAGAAGTAAGTTTATGTGTTTTTAATAAGCTCTCATCTTGGAGAAGCTGTAATACATTTATCAAGTTTGTATCAATATTGTATTGCATTAGCAATCTGTCTCAGGATTATACTAGTCCCCACCTTATCCATGGTTTCAGTTTCTGTGGTTTTGGTTATCCTCAGTCAACCAAGGTTCAAAAACAGGTGAGTACGGTACAGTAAGATATTTTAAGAGAGAGATCATATTCATATAATTTTTATTTCACTATATTGTTATAAGTATTGTTATGTGCTCTACTTTATTATTAGTTATTGTTAATCTCTTACTATACCTAATTTATAAATTAAACTTTATCATAGGTATGTATGTATAGACAAAAACACAGTGTATGTAATATTCAGTACTATTCGCACTTTCAAGCATCCACTGGGAATGTTGGAATGTATTCCCTGAAGATGAGGGGAGGGTACTCTATTTATGTGTGTACAGGTTTATATATGGGTAAAACATACTGACACATAATTTGTACACAACTAGAAATTTTTACTGTTAAGCTTACCTAAGCTAAGAATTTTTTAAAAGTCCTCATAATTCAGTAAGTTCAAATACATCTGGTGGCAAAGGAAGAAAATTGGCAATCAGTGAATTACGAGGAAGAGACTCTATATTCCAGTGCACTGAGCCAAGGCATTATTTTATTATTTCCTTAAATGTAAGGGCTGAATAACTTATTTCATTAAAAATGATGGTGCAGTAAGGTTAGAATCTCTATTTGCATATTACTTCTGCATCTATGAATTAACATTTGATATACTCTCTTTAGTCAATTTGTGCATAAGCACAGACAGATTTTCATTAGATCTACAGCAAGCTGCTGCCTGAGGTCCTCAAGGCAGTCAAAGGATAGATCCTTCTCAAATTGTTTAGAAGAAATTTTCATGTTTAATAAAATGGCAGTTGAACCTTCCTGGATTTAAAAATTAAAGATGAAAGAAGAGAAAATATAACAAAAGAAAAGGAAAAAAATTACACAGTCAGGTTCTTCTGTGGTGAGTTTACTGAAGCAATTAAATATTACTCCATTGTGGAACATACAAAGCTTAGAAAACCACTAAAACTGAATCGACTTTAAATATAAAACACTCCTCAGGAAGCAGCGGTGACTTATTTCAATGACTTGTTTGGAAGCAAACAAAAAGCAATATGAACGGAATATTAACACTGCAAAAAGTAAATACTTTTAAAACATTGTTTCTGTGGAAAATCAGTGATTTCCATAAGCTACAAGTCTAGCTCTTACTTGAACTGCTTGGTTGTTACTTAAGGAAAGTTACTTTTCCTGGTCTTGGAACCCCATGCAGAAACTGGGCAAAGTGCTCTGGGTTATTTCTCACCATTTGCAGCTAGGGTGATTATTAACACACTGATTTCTTTCTTACCTAATAGGCTTCTTCAAACACATTTCTTATTGGGTATATGCCTACTTAACTGCTTTAAGCACTGAGTAGAAAAGATTAAAGTAACTAGGGTTCTAGATTTTAAAATATATCTATAGTTTCTACTGCTAAGAGTCCCAGCTTTTCTCTACAGTTGCCTTTAAAAACAAAAACACACTTTGTCTTATTTTTTCCCAACACGGAGAGTGAGGTCAGATTTAAGAATTCCCATTTGAGCAGAGACGTCTCACAAATTCAGTAGTTTTTAACTTTTCCAACAGTGTACTAAAAATTTACTGAACAAACTAGTAACTTAGTTTTCTAACAGTTTATTGAACAGCTAGTTTGCAGAATGAAGATACTGCCTTGAAGGGCAACTAAAATGCTTTCAGTTTGCAGTTGAATTCATTATTAAAACATATACACACTCAAAACCTCCATTCAATGTAGAAGAGAGTAGGGAAAAGTCAAGACTCTTCAAATGATCATGCTTGCTCTGTAAAAATGGGAGTGGGCAACCAGCACAAAATAGCTTTGGAAGTAGCTAAATGATGGTACTTTCTCTGAACTGATATTCATCTAGCAATGTTAAGTTAGCTTGCAAATTTAGAAAAGACCAGAATATAACCCAATTTTAAAAAATTAATATAATGAAATTTGGCATATATTGTATACATACATACATTGTGTGTGGATGTGGTGATGATTAGGTTAATACGTTTTTATATTTTACATAAAGAATTTTATTACTGAAATTAACCAGTAATCACAAACTTCTTGAAACTTCAACTGGACCTATTTTTTTTTTTAACTTTTTCAACTAAGAGTTCTCCTTAATGTAATTAGATATTGTAGCTGTTTGGGTTTGTTGAAACATGTTTCTTATCTTTTTTAAAAATCTTTTTTTTTCTGAAACAAAAGGATTATACAGGCTTTGGAGAGGATCTGGAAAAAACAGAACAGATCTAAAGTCCTTTTATCTTCATCTCAGCAAATCTCTAGCCTGGACAGGACTGAGAAGTACTGCAGCTTTTTGTGCTTGTAAAGAAGTCCTAGTGAACTAATCTGCCAAGCATGGCATAAAAAGGCAGGAGCACAACCTGGTTCTCACTTCGCCCTCACACTGTTGGATGCCGTTGAAAGAAATTAATCTGAGCAGATTTAGGACTGAGGGCTTTACGTCCATATGGATTGGCAGTTGGTGAGACCTCGCTATTAACGGTGCACAATTAATAAATAATATGTCTCTGTTTGCTTCGGTAGCTCTTGAAGCAATAAAAAGCTTATAAAAAGATTGCTTAGACAAAAACACCACATATGGGCAAGGTCTTGATCCATGCTGGATGTCTTCCATTCAGGAATCCCATTAGCATTTTGCGTGGTACATTGCCCCCAAAACACCAATTTGTTATTCATTTTACCAAGATGGACCAAATGAGTTAAGTGCAGTTATTAATAACTCTTTACATAAATAAATAAGGAAATGAGCAAATACATAAATAGTATTAAAATTATAAATAACAATGTTATCCTAGAATGGCATAATGTTACTGTTACAGCATGCAGGCAGAGATTGGGATGTAAGCAGCTACCATTTACAGGGTGAAACTGCTGCTTCACAGGGCACCTTTGTTCTCTTGCATGATAAATAACTCTAAGACACCACTTCAATTCTGATTTCAGAAGCAAATTAAATTTCAAAATTAAAACAAATTAAATTTAAACGTTGCTTTTATATCACCTATCTGTAGCAGACCTTATCAAGAAAATCTGCGGGCTCTGTGATCCTAAGAGATTTTTGACCTGATTTAAATCCTGGGACTAAAAAAGATGAAGATACCAACTAATGAAGGCTTCTACTAAAATATGTCATCTAGCAGAATGATAAATTATGTCTGAGGACTATTCTGTATTTGCAAAATTATATAAACTCCAATACATAAGTAAATACATTTCAATTATGTTTATTTTGTATGGTGGCATATAAGTATATGCAACACAGTTTAAAGAAGAATAGCCTGATCACTTCATACGAACAGTAACTTTGGAAATGAATTTAAACGAAAACAAAATGGAAATGAAAGCATTAGTATCCTATGTCTTCAAAGATTGACTCAAATATCAGGGACATAAGTTGACATCATAGAATATGGTATTACAAAGATATCTTTACTTTTTTCTTTTCATTTTCCTGTAATTCTTCCAGGTAAGGAGATTATTATCTGTGAGTACATGCCTGAGTTTTCTTTTTCTTTTAATCTTTTTTTTTTTTTTAAAGGAAGCTCTTACACTTTTACACGTAACGCTTTTCAAGAAAGCCTATCTGGCATTGCTGTTACATGAGTGCCACTTGCAAATATTGAGCATAATTCAGCTTTCTTTGAAATTGATCACAGCTTTTTCTATAAGAAATTCAGTTTAATGGATAGGTTGTAGTGAGTCTGCAGATAAATCAGTTGGGTTATTTTTGATATACAAAATAAAGTTCCCACATTCTCTTACACTCTTTACTGTATTATTCTATAATATATGCAGTTAAAGTTAGCATACATTTAAAAGTATTACATTTTATTTCCTTTCAAAGAAGTAGAATAATTTTCTTATTTCAGTTGAATTATTAAATTTATTCATTGCTAAAAATCTGGGCGAATGAACAAACACAATCATTAAATGAGAGAAGTAAAATAATGCTACAATTTTTTTTTTTTCTGGAATAACACTTCCTGGGCTTTCAGTAAGCAACTGTTGAAATAGTTGTGACATTCTCTTAGAAATTACATGGTTGTGTGCAAACAAGACTTCAACTAGGATTTTTGAAATCAGATGTATAGGGGTAACTTTTTTCCAACTGGGTCACATTCAGGATTGGGAAAAATTGCATATTATATTGTAATCAAATTTCATGTAACCATGGTAAGATGTGGCAGCCTAGCAATCCTGTCAGTCATTGATTTACTGCTTAATTGTTGGAAAACATTTTGGAACAATTCCTCCTCCCCCCAGAACTGTCATAAGCTCTTTTTTATTGTCAAGATGTCAGAACAGTCCATCAGGTAGCTTCTCACCTTAGAAGTGATTTATGATGAAAACTCAACTAGAGATTAGTTTAGTTTTATCATCTTAAAAACTACATGAAAAAAAATTCTGTAAAATTATGTGTTTTTTTCTGGTCTGTACAATATAATCCACAACAGAGCAGTTAGTTCATAAAAAGAACATACATTATGAGAATGTTCTAAATCTTCACATTCTGTTTATATTTTATTGCTCTTACTTAGGTTAACATATGGTATATTCTTACAAAGGCTGATTGTTCACATATTTAATTTCTATGCCCATAAAGCAATATATTTTTAATACAATCCAACCAGCAGGAAATGATCAGACTCTACTAAATGTTTTAATATTAGCCTGAAGTTGTGAAGTGAAATATAAAAGGGAAAGTGGTTTTAGAGCCTGTGACATTTCACACTATTCCATCAGCAATAAAGATATATAAATCAACCTTCTGGAATGCCATTTGGGAATTTCAAAATACTAATACCTATACTATGAAATAATTATGAAATAAGATATGTAAAGTCAACAATGAAACTAACACAGGAATATATTTCTTTTTGTTACTGACCCCTTTTCCATTATTAATGAAAAAATTTTAATTTGAAGGGATGATATATATGTTGCACAAACAGGAATTCTGGTTGTTTGTAAATTGGAATCCTGTATTGTTCTTATACCTGATAAAATAGCTGGTGAATTTATTTCATCCTAAGTTTTAGGCATACTTAAGTAATCACATCAAAATTATTACTATTTTTACAATCCACTTTCTTCTCCTATTTATAAATTATTGGACTTTTATATTGTTGCTTTGAAGCACACTTACTTTGTTGATCATCCCAATTATACATTAAAGGAATGGTTCAGTTGATGCAATCTTTGTGTGATAGGCAGAAAACAGCCAAATAGAAAATCTCAAAAAGAGAAACACTAATAATTTTTAACTCAACTTCTGAAGTCAGGCTACATTTGAGAGACAAAAAACAAACATAAGGACATTTCAATTTTTTTAATAATAAAGGATGATTATCGAAGGAGACTCTTCAAATCCTCCTTTTCTCCTATATGGTTTGAAAATGCATTACTATATATTTTGTAGATAATCACAGAATTTATTTTGCAAATTATATTCACACTGGAGAAGAGTGCCATCTCCAAAAGTTACTGCATGAAATTGGTTTGTAGCCTATAAAATAGAAACAGAAAAATGATAGCATTTAAAATAAAGAGACCAAACAGTATTTGAGAAAATATTTGACACAACATTTGTTTCAAGGCATTGAAGTCTAATTTTTGATCAATGTTAGAGAGAGCAAGTGGTTCAGTTTAGGGTAATAATATGTATGGCATGCACAAGGAGTTCAGAGCTACAGAACCTGGGGGAAGGCAGAACAGGGGAATCTGGATGAGAATCTGGAAAGAGGAATATCTGATGATTGCCACTCTGCTGTTAAAAAAACGTTCAGTGTCTTCTTAATTTCCTAAATATGACATGCTTGACTTTCTATATTCTGCTCTTTAACTGCCTCTCTAACCTACCACCAGTTCCCCAATACAACCTACGTTCACACCTTAACTAACTACTTACAGATCCCTGAGTGTTAGATGCCTCTGTAGCTTTGCACATGCTCTGCTCTGTATTTGAAATGCCCCTTATCTCCATCCCATAAGGAGAGCTCCTACTCATCGTTTAAGCATTAGTTAGCATGTCACTAATTTTCATAAATCTTGTCTAAGCCACTTTAGATATTTATACCACTATTATGTGTTATAGTTTAGTATCTTTATTATGTACATATGTATATATATAATATTTAAATAATATATTTCCTGTCAATTAAGTTTTAAACTTCCTGAGAGAAGGGCAATTAACTTATTTTTCCCATATCTCTGTAACCAGTGTATATAATTCATTTATTGCTCTTGTCTGCCTTGTAGCTTAACTATATCAAATGGTATCAACATTAGTCATTTTATTATTTGATTGTCATTTCATATTTTATACATTTATTACATATACCTGCAGCCCTGACTTGGTCCCTGAGCATTCACCCTGGCTCTCTAACTGCCAGTTGGATCTTTAACCATTACCTAATTTTCAATGATCTGACAACATATTCACTCTCTTTTCTGAAATATACTTCATATCTCACATTTTTTATTTCAATCATTGGCATAATAATTCCCCCAAGATCCTAGCTTAAGAACTTGGAGCCATACCTGACTTCATTCCCAATGAATGAAGACATTCATTTATAGACATTAAATCACCATGTCCTTTCTCTATTTACTTCTATGTCTTCCTTTTCTTTTTCACTTGCTCTACCTTGGTCCAGATCCTACTACAGTAGCAGAAAGCAAATTCCCAATAAACTGCTTTGACGCATCTTTTCCTTAAACATTTTAAAGGACTATGGCTGCTGAAACGATATCCCATTTTCAGCTTACAATTTAGCATCCTGTACACTTTGATTACTTCCTATCTCTTTAAAGATATCCTCACTATGTTCTCCTAACAATTTTCTTTCATTGCTGCCTAATTTTATTTATAGTTCCGAACATTATCTTTTGTTGCCCAAAATGTCCTCCCCTTTTTCGTCTTTCCTTGGGCATAATTTTGTCCTGATGATTTAACTTAAGCTCCACTTACTCCACAACACTCTGATACCCATCCTATCCCATCCCTTCTCAGCTGCTTTCCCACCTAGTGTCCATGTTACTTGCTGGGAACTTAGCAAATGTAGCTCTCTGCTTAAATTTATGGTTTTCAAGTGAAAATCCTGTCTCCTTAACTGGGTTGCAGATGTGAAAGCAGGGCTTTTTTACAAATTTAAATTGTTCAGCCTTATATATTGTATTTATATTCATGATTATGATGATTTATTGAAAGCTTTTGTTCAGGATTATGATTTCCATTTATTACACTGGATACTATTTTATACTACAGCTTCCATAAAGGCAGTGTATACTAAATGGAGCACTGATTGTAGTTTACTGATTATAGGTTGCTTATTAACACTGCTCGTTACTTACTACTGTTCTTTATTTTGTATTCCTGGACTCTGATGTAGCACTTGTCCTAATTGTTTCTTACCTAGATTATCAGGATAGCTTCTCTATCTTCAGCTTTCTCTTCTTCAACTTTTTTTTTTTTTTTTTTTTTTTTTTGAGATGGAGTCTTTCTCGCTCTGTCGCCCAGGCTGGAGTGCAGTGGCGCGATCTCGGCTCACTGCAACCCCGCCTCCCGGGTTCAAGCGATTCTTCTGCCTTAGGCTCCTGAGTAGCTGTGACTACAGTGTGCACCACCATGCCTAGCTAATTTTTGTATTTTTAGTAGAGACGGGGTTTTACCATATTAGCCAGGCTGGTCTGGAACTCCTGACCTCATGATCTGCCCGCCTTAGCCTCCCAAAGTGCTGGGATTACAGGCGTGAGTCACTGTGCCTGACTCTTCAAAGGTTTTATTGAATACTATTAACTACAGCCTGTGTGACATTTTAATATTACTATCAACATTTTTTGTTCTAAAATTTTAAGTTTGGTAAGTTTATATTATGTGCATCCTCAAAAATCATCAGTGACTCCTAATTGTCTATAAAGACTACTTTTATCTGCTCTGGTATACCTTGCCCTGTTTGTGACATTTCCCTTTATACATTCATACATTTGCAGTAGTCAAGTCCAAGCATGTAATGTGCTGACCTCCCTACGTCAGATGCACCCTTATAATTTTATGTCTTTACTAATGAGATTCCTTTATCTTGGAATTCCATACTCCTGTGAAATACTAGTAAAATTCCTATGCTTCACCCAAAAATCACTTTATTGAAAAAAATGTTTTCCTCTTCTTTGTTACAAGAGCATTTTGTTTGTACTTCTATTATGGCAATATCTTAGTCACCTTGTGTCATAGTCGTGTTATGAATGCATATTACTTTTTCTGTGCTAAATTGTAAGGCTTTTGAGATTGGTTATTGTGCAAAATATGTCTCTGATTCCCATCAATGCTTAGCTCCATCACTGCAGTCTAATTGTCATGCAATAATTATTTCTTAGAAATTTATTTCTTAAAAAATATTTATTTTATATTATTTTTAAGAGATAATTTATTATGCATACTTTAATATAGAGTTCCTAATTTCAGTTCTTACACTGACTATCTCAGCCTCATATTTATATGTGGAAAATAGGATAATAACATCTGGTATTTGTAACTGAAGTATGTTTCCAATAAGTGGCTCATTCACTTCTTTCTGAACACTCTCACATCACCTTCTCACTAATGACTGTTGTTTGCTTGTTTTTGTAAAGCAATACATCTTGGTAGTGTTTAGTTGACATTCTTGCTTCTCTAGCTGGCAGTTTGAGGACAGTCAGCTTGTAAGAACTTTTTAAAGTTGGTTCTTTGGGTATAGGAGACTTTATATGTAATTCCATGAAACTTTAGGAGAAGCAAAGGCTATTTCTAAGAACAATCAATCTCTTCAAGTTTTAATGGGATTCTATAAGAGTCAGAACATTTTCCGTGCTTATTAAGGGTAATTTCATTAGTTTTATAGAGTACCAGTGAAAAAGATAGCTTTCTTCATGTGCCTTAGTTGAGTTATTTAAGAACACCGTAGTTCATCCCATTGTGGTGAGATATGCCATCAAATTCAGTCCTACTTTCTGTACTGGGTCTAATCAATAAACTGTATCAAGCAAAAAGAAATAAATTGAAATTATCTGATGTAGCAGGATGGTTATTTACACAAATAACTTCTACATTTTGAAATTCAATTTGGAAACACACTAGACATTATGATATCTGTCTCTTAAAAAATTTCATAACCACCAATATATAGTCCAGTGTACTCAACATAATGTCCTTCTGGAACAGAGTTTGCAAACAAATTCAGGGTTCTATGGAAATATTGTGTTAGTAGAAGACATACTTATGGAAAAGGTTCTGGGTAAACTTTACATGAGCATAGTCTTTTTGTGTTGGAGCATCAAAGTTCATGGGCCCAGTCCTAATAATGTTTTCCTTACACAATCTGAGTTAGGATTCTTTGTTGAATTGAATTGAAATTTAAATTTCTTGTTGAATTTTTTGACTTAGAAGATCCTAAACATTGTGGCTATTTCTTCATTACCAGAATTTCAGGTTTCTACACAAGTTTATACCTAGTAAATTATGGTTTTAAATCTGCTATATCAAATAATTGCTTCTAAATTGAAATACCTGACTAGTACTCAAGGCTTACAAATCACTGCTTCATGCATAGGTAAATATTAGACATGAAATGCAATCTCAAGTAAATCAATGACCAAAAAGAACTTCAGAACAAAAGAAAATGACAGTGAAAGAAAAGAATAAAACAGATAAACAGAGAAAACATGAGGTTTTCTTTTATTGCCATGAGTAAGATTTTAAATCTGAGTCTACTAATGATTATTAACTTGCCACAGTTCCATGAAGGTCATTAATTTTCTAATATCCTTCCTCTATTTTCTGACTGGGGGAGAATTCCTTTATGTAGTGCTTTAGATGAAATGAGGATTGGGAATTTGGAAATTCTTGTCACAGTAGGGGCAGAATTTTTAAAAAACAATAGTATCACACACACACAATAAAAAACACTTTCAAGATAGAGAAAGTGATTAAGATGGAGGAGTGGATCATTAATGCTCCAAGCTGCAGAGAAGACAGTAAAGATCAACAATCAAACTTGTCATTGGATTTAACATCAAGCAAGTCACTACTGAGCATGAGTAAGGAGTTTTAGTCAAGTAAGAAAGATTAAGGGGGTAACAGCCTGTATGAAATTTGGAGGTTTGGAAATGAAGGTTTTGAAAATAGAAAATGTGTGTAGGTTATGCTTTCAGCAGTGCTGATTAGTAAAAGAAAAAAATAGATGGAAAAGAGGGCTATAAAATCGTGGAGGAAAAGGTTTTATTTCGATTTATTATTATGAGAAACACGAGCAAAGTTAAATTCGGGGGGTGGGGGAGAAAGAGAGAGAGAGAGAAGAGACATGAGAAAGAGAATTATGCAAGGTAATGATTCCTAAGTGCCAGAATCCAAAGCAGTAAAATTATGAGTTTGGTCATGCACCAAAGTGGGGCGGTGGGGGGAAGAGGGACTTCTTTCCCCCAGAGGAAGGTTGTAGGTGAGACACAAGATGAAGTAAGAGACACATTGATAAGTTTTAGGATAAAATCAGCTGGGCAATAATATTTATTAAACAGATATTGGCATTAGCTAAAGATGAAAAGGAGAAGAAAAAAGAGGGAAGACATTGGAAGAAGGGAGAAAAGGAAGGTAAACACTATAACCAAAGATTTGCTAAATTTTAGACAGATTCTTAGAGATGATAAGCATCAAACAACCCTGTAGAGCATGACTTAAGCATAAACAGAGCGTTGAAATTTTGCTATCATTCCACCCCAAAATGATATTTTGTGTGATATTTATTGTCAAATGCTTGAAAAGGATATGCTGGGTCCAAGATAAAAAGTATTTCACCTGTGCCCCTCAAGTAGTTCCCTGATTCTCTGTTTTTTTCATATACGTAATTTCTGCACTCCTGGTTGAGATATTCTACTTTTTGATGGTGATTTCATTCTCAAAACTTTTACGTGCATAATTGAATTAACATGCTTAAAGTTAAGGAAAGCCTTTAAAACTGACTGCTTCCAAGGCAGTGAAAGCATCAGCTTAACTCTCTGGCTTTCAACTTTCTCTTTACTTTTGGCCTTGGGGAAATCCCCTTGATTTCTCAGGACCAAAGCTGTATATTTAAAATGATATTTGTTATATATTACCCAGAATGTCTTAGTGTTTTGAAGTAGGATGATATTAATGATATCTTATCTTCCATATTATTAGAATTAAAAATCTTGGTCTCCTGCTTCTCATTCTAGGTTTATTTTTTTCTTTACTTGTATTCTGTGCGTTGTCCTAACTCCAAATTGTTCCTAAATTTAAATTTTAACATGTAGACATGCCAGTGAGAAATTGTGGAAGGGGAAGGAGGAGGTGCTAGCTGAACTTTTGAATCTGAAGATTAATGTCTACCTCTGTTGCTTTTTGTAATGGGCTCAATTTCCTTACACTGTGCTTTGCAGCTATGTGAGACATCTGTGGGATGTCCAGCTCCATTTCTGTTCGGACCATGTGGGACCTCTGTATCCTCAGTTCTTCCTGGTCTTGGACCCCAATCTTATCAGACACTTATATGCCTCCTTCTGAGATAGTAATGCTCTACCTTACTTGGTGAGGTAGGGTGAAATCCCTTTTCAAGGAAATAATATTTTCTTCTTCAACTCTGAACTGAAACTCAGGATTCTATTTTGGCAGTACCATGACATTTTTTTGTATAATGTCACATACGCCCCTATTTCCCATCCTCCATTCTGTCTCAGTTTCCTTATCTGTAAAATATTCTGTTTTTTCATAGTACCTAAAAGTGAATTTAACCAGTGACACAATCATAAATTATTTGGGTTATACTAACACCACATTGAGCTTTTTAAAGAAATGTTATAAATCCCATGTTAGTTTTTGTTAAATTGAAAATATTAATGCTAAAATATATTTGTTCTTAGTTTAATATTTATTGAAGTCATATCATCATAACTTAAAAATTTACTTCCCCTAACACATCTTATGCACACACTTACATAGGCACACATTGTTGACATTCTTCTGAAATATTCTATAACTTAACAAGAACTCCTATTTTAAGATGGCGGAAAAAATGTTTTAATCCAAATTGGCACGGTAGGCTGAATAAAAATGTCCCCCCAAAGATGTCCATGTGCTAATCTCTAGAACCTGTGAACACAGAGGTTCCTCAACTTACAATGGATAAACCTGTCATAACTTGAAAATATCATCAGTCAAAAATGCATTTAATACACTTGACTTAAGGAACATCATGGTTTAGCTCAGCCTTCCTTAAAAGTGCTGAAAACACTTACATTAGTCTACAGTTGGGCAAAATCATTTGGCCACACAGTACACTGTAGAGTATTACTTGTTTGCCGTTGTAATTTATGGCTGATGAATAGCTACAGTTCAATGCTACAGCCCAGCATTGTGTGATAGTATTGTACTGCATATCTCTGGCCCTAGAAAAGACCAAAATTCAAAATTCAAAGTACAGTTTCTACTCAATGGTATAACTTCCACACTATTGTAAAGTCAAAAAATCATAAGTAGAATCATCATAAATTGAGGATGATAAGTGTGTATATGTTACCTTATATGGTAAAAGTGGCTTTGAAGCCCTGACTAAATTAAGAATCTGGGGATGGAGGGACTATGCTGATTGTTCTGGTTGGCCCCATATAATCATAAGGGGCTTTAGGAATGGGAGGCAGTAGAATTACAGTCAGGGAGGAGAAGGCAATGTGATGATGATGGAAGCGGAGGTTGGAGTGATGTGGCCACAAGCCAGAGTGATGACAGCCTGCAGGTGCTGGGAGAAGCAAGGAACAGAGTCTCCCCTGGAGCCTCCAGGAGGAATCAGCATACTCACACCTTGATTTTAGTCCGCTGAGCTTCATTTCAGACTTCTGTCCTACCTCCAGAACAGTAAGAGAATAAATTGGTGTTGCTTTAAGCTACTAGGTTTGTGATAATTTGTTAGACCAACCAACGGACACTAAAACAATTGGCAACTTAAATACTCATAAGAACAGATATTTCTTTGCCTCCAAGAATAAGAAACAGTAAAGATAGATATTGTAATAGTAGTGGCAGAAGCTTTCACTAACTGAGATTCCATTGTTTATAAGACATTATTCTGGATGACTTTAATTTTTTTTAATTCTC
Organism: Homo sapiens; assembly: GCF_000001405.40. Lineage (NCBI taxonomy): Eukaryota > Metazoa > Chordata > Mammalia > Primates > Hominidae > Homo > Homo sapiens. The sequence continues at coordinate 93,615,840 of NC_000006.12, forward strand.
ATAATAGCACTTCAAGGAGTATATTACCATTCTTGTTTTATAGAAACAAAAACATAGAAAGTAATTTCATCACAGGACAAGTGGTAGAGCCAGGATTTGAACACAGTACTGTGTGTCATCAGTTTAAAAACTGGTACATTACGGTCGGGTGCGGTGGCTCACGCCTGTAATCCCAGCACTTTGGGAGGCAGAGGTGGGTGGATCACAAGGTCAAGAGAGATCGAGACCATCCTGGCCAACATGGTGAAACCCCATCTCTACTGAAAATACAAAAATTAGCTGCATGTGGTGGCACGTGCCTGTAATCCCAGCTACTCGGGAGGCTGAGGCAGGAGAATCACTTGAACCCAGGAGGTGGAGGTTGCAGTGGGTCAGATCACGCCAGTGCACTCCAGCCTGGGCGACAGAGCAACACTCTGTCTTAAAAAAACAAAAAACAAAAAACAAAAAAAAAACCCTGGTATATTATATAAGAAAAACACAAATTAATTAAGAGAATAATTTAAACATGTTTGAAAGAAATGTTGAAAACCTGTGATAGGCAGTGTTACGGGTTGAATTGTGTTTTTCAAGACAGTTATGTTGAGCTCCCTGAGGACAAATGAGGACATTAGATGGTCTCTCAATCAATGTGATTGGTGTCCTTATAAAAGGAGAAATTGTAGAGAGAGACTTTCATACAGGGTGAATGCTATGTAAAGATGAAGGCAGAGATGAGGATGATTATTGTACAAGCCAAATAATGCTAAAGATTTCCAGCAAACCACCAGAAACTATAAGAGAGGTATGAAACAGATTCTCCCCCACAGACCTTAAAGAACTACAACTGAGGACACCTTCATCTTGGATATCTAGCTTCCAAAATGGTGAGACAGTAAATTTCTGTTGAATAAACCACCCAGTATATGGTACTTCATTACAGCAGTTCTAGCAGACCAATAAATACAATGATAGTGATAATTATGAGAATAATAACAAAAGACATTGTGGATGTTTTTAAAAATTAGTATTCCACTCATTGTAGTTGTAAAATAAAAAATGTAGTTTCTACAAAATTTTTTATTCTGTTTATTATAATAGTCTAGCACATTGTAATAATCACTTTAAGGAGACTTTTGAATAAAATTTTATCTCATTTTTCAATTTAATTAAACATCTACAAACATTAAAAATGGCATTTATATAGAAAACATATTTGATTTCCTTTTAAAATATTTTTCTTGTTTGATTTAAACAAAATCTTGAGTATTTAAATAACTTTCAGTAGATTAAACTTATAGATATATTGAATCCTAAAGGCTATTAATGTTCCAATCCTATAGATAAATGATAACATTTAAACTTTAATATAAGCCTAAATCCAGTACTGAGTTAGACATTTTAATTTATTCTTATGGGTTAAATTCCTTTAAAACTTTAAGGAACATAAAATACCGAACAAGCACTAATTCCTTAACCAAATACATAAAAGTAACGGGGTAGATTCTCTCAAATGTTCTTGTGTGCTTAATTCTAAGTGTAGGTTGGAAGATACAAGGGAACAGGAACAGTTTATCATCCCACACAATTCTGGGGTTACTTTCTCAATTTGCTGAGGTTACTCATATCTGCGCACAAATGGGAATTCTAAGCCTTATTAATGGCCTGTAACATGCATTAAAGAAGAAAATAATTTTGTGCTCCATCTGCCTAAGACTTGAGTCAAATCCTTACTTTTCAAGCCAAAATGAATTCTGTACCTCTACCCATGTGGTAAACCAATTGATGATTTTTATTTCTTTGGCTCTTAAAAGCCAATATTGATATGATGTTAACACTGTGCTGAGCACAGGTGAAAGTACTCAAGATTACTAACTCATTTAATCTGTGGATTGTGACTCTAACTCCCAATGGGGGCTCACAGGTTACCAGCATTAGTGAATGAGGCATATCCAATTTGCATAACTAAAAGATGCTGTAACGAGATGAGTGGGGTGGTAGAGCTGACATTTGTTCAGTAATAAGATCTAGGATCAACACATTAGATTTAGTTTCTTTGAATACAACCAATCCTAGTAAAGAGTGAAATGGAATACCCCAGAGCAACAGATCACAGTCAGGGAATAGCAGGCACCACTGATGAGGCCCAGCACAGGACAGATACACAGTAGGTCTCGGGAGAGGGTAGGTGTTGATAATGAGGAGATAACTAATGGGCCATCACATGCCATCACATCCCATCTAAAGGTTAAGGTACTCTATGGCCTTTAACACCTACTCTAAAGCATCAGAGTGTGCTGTGTTTGTTGGTTAGAAAGTTTATTCTGGATAGATTAAATAACTTCATAATGAAAAATTTTATGGTAAATATTTTAAATATAAATATAAAAGATTTTAAACTTTATCTCTTATATAATTTCCTCTCGAAGATACATTAGTGAACTGGACATAATGTGGTTCAGTGTAGCTTTCTGACCTCATACATTTGATAAAGTTTTACATATATCCTATAATAGAATTATTACAAAAACCCTATGAGTTACCAAATAAGGAATTATGTCTTACAGAAGTTAGTGAGAAGGCTAGTTAGTAAGGAGCAGAGGTATTCAAACACAAACCTGTTGGAATCCCAGGCGAGGCGAGAGCCCTTGAATGCTCCCTTATTCTCACCGCCTAGTGATTTTAATGAGCTTTTAGAGCCTTGCATTTTGTCTGGGAATAAGATGTCTTTTAGACCACTATACCCTGAAATTATTTTTTTAAAAAAAAGATGTTTGAAAACTTTGTAAAAACCTATTCCCCCCTCCCATAGAAAGTGAAAAAAAAGGGATTTGTAGTGAATAGGAACTAAAAATAGGACAGCAAATAAAAAATATAAAGATACATCCTCAGTTTGCCAGTATCTTATTGAGGATTTTCACATCGAAGTTCATCAGGGATATTGGCCTGAAATAACTCAAGATGGATTAAAGACTTAAACATAAGACCCAAAACCAAAAAAAACCTAGAAGAAAACCTAGGCAATACTATTTAGGACATAGGCATGAGCAAGGACTTCATGTCTAAAACACCAAAAGCAATGGCAACAAAAGCCAAAATTGACAAATGGGATCTCATTAAACTAAACAGCTTCCGCACAGCAAAAGACACTACCATCAGAGTGAACAGGCAACCTACAGAATGGGAGAAAATTTTTGCAATCTATCCATCTGACAAAGGGCTAATCTCCAAAATCTGCAAGGAACTTAAACACATTTACAAGAAAAAAACAACCCCATGGAAAAGTGAGCAAAGGATATGAACAGGCACATCTCAAAAGAAGACATTTACACAGCCAACAAACATATTGAAAAAAGCTCATCATCACTGGGTCATTAGAGAAATGCAAATCAAAACCACGATGAGATACCATCTCATGCCAGTTAGAATGGTGATCACTAAAAAGTCAGGAAACAACAGATGCTGGAGAGGATGTGGAGAAATAGGAACAGTTTTATACTGTTGATGGGAGTGTAAATTATTTCAACCATTGTGGAAGACAGTGTGGCGATTCCTCAAGGATCTAGAACTAGAAATACCATTTGACTGAGAAATTCCATTACTGGGTATATACCCAAATGATTATAAATCATTCTACTATAAAGACACATGCACATATATGTTTATTGCGGCACTGTTCACAATATCAAAGACTTGGAACCAATCCAAATGCCCATCAGTGATAGACTGCATAAAGAAAATGTGGCACATATACACCATGGAATACTATGCAGCCATAAAAAATGAATTTGTGTCTTTGCAGGGACATGGATGAAGCTGGGGACCATCATTTTCAGCAAACTAACACAGGAACAGAAAACCAAACACAGCATGTTCTCACTTATAAGGGAGTTGAACAATGAGAACACATGGACACAGGGAGGGGAACATCACTCACCGGGACCTGTGGGGAGTTGGGGGACTAGAGGAGGGATAGCATTAGGAGAAATACCTAATGCAGATAACAGGTTGATGGGTGCAGCAAGACACAATGGCACGTGTTTACCTATGTAATAAACCTGCACGTTCTGCACATGTATCCTAGACCTTAAAGTACAATAATAATAATAAAAAGATATATCCTCACTGCATTTCCTATATTTTCTTTGGATTGGAAAGGAGGTTCATTTTCAGTTGGAAAATAGGAAAGGGAGGTGTTAAAAGTTTGGCATTTCAAGTGATCAGACTTGAATAATGGTGACTTTTCTAGTCATGGCCTCATAATGGCTGCAAATCTTGGTGCAAATCTTCCCATTATTGCAATGATTTAATACATACAGTATCCCAGCAACTTACTTTTTAATAAGATGACAATTTATTGCTGAAAGTTTTTTTAAAAGCTATTTTTACTTCTTTTTTTCCCTCTTGTTAACTGTGGAAATACTCCTGTCAGTATATTCCATCCTGGCCTTGTTATGGAAGTGGTACATGCCGCTGTCGTTTGTAGCTTTTCCTTTGTTAAGGCCAGAAAAAATTTTCTGGGTAACTAATTTGTAACATTCCTTTTTCTAAGATTTCGTGTTCATTTTTAAAGCAGTAAGCTTTATTTTTTTCTGTCAGACAATCTACAAATTATAAACATAGCACAAACATTCATTCTTGAACATAATGAATCCAAACATTTTGCAAACAAAAACCAAAACTTCAGTTTATATTTTTCCAAAACAGTCATCTCTACATTTATTGTTTTTAGCTTGTTTAATTTAAAGCATGGTCAGAGTCAATATTTAATATAATTCAAAGCTACCCAGACTTAATTTTCCCTACCTAGACAGACTCTGATCTTGTTCCAATCCTACCTTGAAACAGGATCAGCATTTTGGTGGGTTTTAACTCCACAAGATATTAGACTTCTCCCTGAAGACTTCATGGGGAATGAAGACATTAAACAAAGTCTCTCTGGGTCATATCTCCATTGCCCCTGAAGATTCCCTCTGACTTCAGTCAGACACTTTGCCTCCCCTTTCTCAGATATAACACCCAAACAACACACCAAATGACTTTTTGCAGTAAACAGTTTTAAAGGATTGGTATAATATTGCTTTTGAAATTATTTTGCTAGAAGTGACTTATAATAAAATTACATTTGGCTCTGATTGTACTGCATTAATCATAACTTATGGATTCTTGCAAAGTGAGAAAATATAACCTAAAATTGTTCTCATGCATCATGACATTTTTTATGAATTCAAATTTTAACAATTAATGAAGTTGACATAGGTTATGCATTTGTAGGCATTTAATTAAAATTTAATTAAATATTTATTAATTTTCACTTTGCAGTTTTCTTTTCGTGTTTTGGAGCTGATGATTTTTTCAGGCCTGACATATTTTTAGAAGGCCCTGTAGGTCTGCAGATCCTTGGCATTCTGCCTTTGAGTGCTATGGATAAAACGACCACACCACTGGAAAAATTTGCCCGATATTCTTATCTTTTTAGCCTTCACTCTCAACTAGCATGACACACTCAGAAAATCTAAAGCCTTGCAATTAGCAGCCCCTATCTCTCTTGAAAGATGTGTTTGTTATTGCTGTTGTTCTTGTGTATCCCTTAACATGTTATGGAAATATAAATCTGTTAAAACCAAATCCTTCACTTGAGAGGATTCTACCCTGTTGAAATACTGTTTCTTTTCATGTTAAGTTCCTAATCCCTAACCAGCGAACATTTGCTGCCCTCAGCCAATCTACATTGGCTGCTTTGATGTAGGTGGAACATTGTGAAAGAGACCCCTTCTGGCACAGGAGGAAATGTACCAGCAGTTTGGCCATCACAACCTGCTGTCTGTACAGCTAAAACACAGCCAGAATTTGACTGGCCTTCACCACCTCCCTTGCTGGCACCTTGTCCAAGCCCCAGTGGTTTCTGGCTGTGCTATTTCAGTGGATCTTAACTGGTATCCTGCTCAGAGCTTGCTCTTTTTCAGTCATTTTTTAACACAGCAGCCAGAATGGTGGTCAAACTAATGTCAGGTCATGTCACTTTCTTGCCCTCAGCCTCCAACTTTTCTGTCTCACTCTACATACAAGCCAAAGTCTCCCAGAGGTCTCCCAAGATCTAGGTCCTCTTTGCTTTCTGACCTCTTCTGCTCTTGTCCATCTGGTTCATTCCCCAGCAGCTGTGCTGACCTCTGTGCTGTTTCTGGAACATAAAACTGCTCTTCTGGGCCTTCACACTTGATCTTCCCTATGCTTGGCACCCTATTCTTGCAGTTGTTGCCACAGTTTTTGCCTTCACGTGTTCTTAGACCCAGTCTCAGTTTGATCTGCTCTTCACCACTTATCACCACTCAAATCTACCATGTTCCTAACTCATTGATCTTGTTTGTTGTCTCTCTCTCCTGATTAGAATGTAGGTTCTATAAAGGCAAGGATTTTTATTTTATTTTTTTCTTCTTTGTCTGTATTGCATAGTGCCAAACCCTTAGTGCTTAGACCAGTGCTTGGCTCACTTATGTAATATATTAATATCTATTCAATGAAGGCATGCATAATAGTATGTTTCTGTTTTATTTTTGTGTAGAGACAGAGTCTTCCTGTGTTGTCCAGGCTAGTCTTGAACTCCTGGGCTCAAGTGACTCTCCCACCTCAGCCTCCCAAAATGCTGGGATTACAGGCATGAGCCAGCATGCCTGGCCATGTTCCTTCTTTAAAAATTCAGTAAGAACATTCACATGATATTTACTAGCATTATCTAGCCCTCCACCAACTAAAGACTCAAAGGCTTTTCTCCTAATCCAACCCCCATTTCCTTGAAGGGTGCTCAAACTCATCTGTGAGGTCCTGTTTGGGAGAATTTTCCTCCTGATTTCTACCTGGAGGATGTTCATGTTCCCTGTTCCTTGCAGGCACTTTGCCCTGGAAGCAGCCAGGCTATATCTGATCCCGTCTATGTCAGTCAGCTCTGTAGTGATTCATATAATAGAAACAGAATTCACAAAGGATGGAGACTGGGAGATGGGCTTTGTTTCTAGCTGGATCTTCTCCATATGTTTGACAAGCTGTGTAAGGGATGTGTGTTTGCTTCTCCTCACTCCAGAGTCTCTGTCTTCAGTAACTTCAGAAAGCAAGAGGATTTACTGAGATGCTTTTCTCAAAAGCAGTTTGCCACACGGGCTTCTTCTTTAACACAGGTGTGAAAAACCAGAATTTTTTTTTTCATCTCATAAAGTCTTAATTCATTTTTGTTTAATCCTAAATCTGTTCTTTACTTTGGGGCATCTGAGAGTGGTACCAGTACATAACACTGATCCCTTGCAATCAAACTCACTACACCAAAAGTGCATTTTAGGACAAGATTGGAGTCTGTTATGAGGTTCATGGGAAAATGTTGGGAGACCATCTGCTTATCCTGCCCTACCCTGGACCCTTGCCTGTGGAGGACTGAACTTCAAGAGTGGACATCTGATACAGTTTGGGTGTTTGTCTAATCCAAATCTCCTGTTGAAATGTAATCCCCAATGTTGGAGGGGCTTGATGGGAGATGATTAGATCATGGAGGCAGATCCCACAAGAATGGTTTAGCACTATCCCCTTGATGATAAGTGATTTTTTTCTCTGAGTTCATGTGAGATCTGGTTGTTTAAGTGTGTGGCACCTTCTCTGCCTCTCTCTTGCTCCCACTGTCACCAAACGAAGTGTCTGCTCTGGTTTTGCTTTCTGCCGTGATTGTAGTTTCCTAAGGCCTTCACCAGAAGCAGGTGCTGGCACCACACTTCTTGCACTGTGCAGAACTGTGAGATTATTTATCCTCTTTTCTTTATAAATTAGCCAGTCTCAGGTATTTCTTTAAGGCAACACAAGAATGACCTAACATAGAATCACTTCCTGCTTCCCAAGTCTGCAGCACCATATCCAATCTGGTAGATCTTATTCCTTGTAGAAGGCACTTGATACCAATTTTCCTTTACCTGTTTTTTCAGAGCAATGAGATCCCAGGCAGTCCTTGCTGATATTTTTCCAGCAGTGTATCCATACTTCACAGAGATCTCTCATCCAGTGATTTACACCTCTCAGGCCACCTGTTTCTTCAAAGAGCTCTCATGAACACTTTACACCAGTAGGGGCCCTGTAATATCCTGCAAATCTCTCTTGTCTCAGAGCCATCTTTTCTCTCCTCATGGAATATCTATTGCTCTTTTATAGTGTAGACCATCCATGTGGTTCCTTTTGGACACAACTCAAATATTTCCTCTGGTCCCTAGTACTTCAGCACCAACACATGCTCCATATTTTCACACTCTACAATACACATGAAAGAATTATGACCACGCTCAGTTCATGTGACTGGTTAGGGTATACTCAATCTGATTCTCTCAAGGTTTCTTTTAGACAGTAAAAAAATGTCACAAATGCTATGAGACAGTTGTCATGCTGTTAATGTCCACTAAATGAATTAGGAAAAAAAGTGGGTGTATCCATGTTAAATATTTAATATTGGTCTACAGAATTAGTGATTCAAGTAATGGCAAATGTATTGGAGTCCAAAAAACTATGACACACTCAAAGAAGAATAATTTGAGACAAGTTCATTGACAAAAACACAATTTACTTCACAAGTGTGTGAGTATGGGAACCACAGAGTACTGTGGAGCAAGATAGAGATAGTAACTGCCAAGCTATTACTATCCCTCAGCCTGAAACAGGCAGAACAGTTTCAGGAACCTGGAAAATGAGTACGAGTTGGCGCTTTGCCAGGTGCAGTGACTTCTGGGCAAATGTCCTAAGGGAGCCATGGAAACAAATACTCTGAATCCAATTTTCTTTCCTTTAGACCTCCTGCTAGGGTTTCCATTGGCTCAACCCAATTGGAAGTCTTAAGGCAATAAAACCCTTTTGTTCAGTCCCTTTAGATTGGTACCCCCGGGGGTAGAAAGCAGCATAGAGAAGAATGGGGAATGGATTTGGAAGGGGGGGGTACAATAAGCTTGTCTATATCTATAATACTATGGTAATTCTTCATGCCACAGACATTTATGGCTCTCAGTGGTTCAGCAAGAGTATACCTTAGAAGAGAGATCTTATACCTCCACTTTTTACAATCTAATGAGATTTCAAAAATAAGTGCTAGTTATTAAAGTTTAGTTATTAAGACATAAGGATAATTTAAGAAGAGAAAATAGAAAGCTCTATACTGAACATTTTTGTAACAAAGAATTAAAAAGATAGTAAATTCAGCAGATAATTTCAGAGGCTGAAATTTTAAAATACATTGAAACCTTTGAAGATTGATTTAGAAGCCTATATGTGTGAAGATTTTTTTTTCTTTTTGAATTTTCATTCAGGTTTTCAGAGGTTGATGTATTGCCTACAGGGAATAAACTGCAATTCACAAGGCAGAAGGCTGGACTCCAGAACTCTGCAGCTTTGAGTTATATTATCAGATATCTAGACTTTGGATTTGTCAAAAAGAAATTTGTGGAGGTTCTTGCTGAATTACACGGTTCTCTTTGCATGTTGATATGGAGTACATAGATAACAGAAATAGATTCTCAAATGTATGCATATCTTTCATATGAAAAATATGTTTTAGACAAGTTAAGCTTATTTTAAAAACAGGAGATTTTTTTCAGAACAATTTAGTAAAAATGTAAAAGAATCACAACCCAGTTAGCATAATGACAGTTTTAACAAAAACTTAATAACATTAAGAGGTTGGTGAAAATTATATAATGGGCACTTGGGAAACCATTTTTAAAGGTCATTTCTAATTATATTTTAATGGGTGCAGATATATGTATATATAATGTGTGTGTGCATGTGTGTTAGATTAGTTCAGATGAAAGCCAGCTACAAGAAAAAGCTGTTTTTTAAGATGCATTTTTAATTTGTCTGTGTGCAAATAAACAGATCTCTTTGTTTAGTTTTGTAGCATTTCTATTTCACATTTTGATGAAAAGACTCAATCTTTGACTTTCCCATTAACTGAAGTGCTTTTGTATTAACCTACTTGGAAAAAAAAAAGAAGAAAAGAACAATAGACTTCATATTCCAGAAAAGCTGTTTAAGCCAAACTTCAGAGTGACACTTTGGGCTTGTAGGGTAGGCAATTTTATAACAATGTTGCTATTCTGATGTATCTGAAATGTTTAAATGAATAGTAGCACTTCTCATTTAACCTTGGGTGTAAATTTTCCAAGTTATTGCTAAAGTGGGCCTATCTCAGCCATGTTCTTTTTGAGCCAAATCTGAAATTGTCTTTGGTATTTTCTACCTATGTCCTATTTTAATGGATTCTTGTCAAAGCATACTATTTTTTTTTGGAGAATTGAGTTGATATAGCAAAGAATGACACATTTTAATGCTTCCTAATTTCACAGCTGCTTTTGATGTTAAAATTTAACTTTGGATATTTAGAATCTAAACCAGTTATAGCAATACATTTATAATTGTTATGATTTAACAATGAATTGTTAAGTCTATATTTTGGTTCTTTTATGTGAAGAAAAAATATTAACAGATTTGGTTTAGAGCTTGGGGAATATTTTAATTCATTCAAGCTGCTCTATCAAACTATCATATACTGGGTGGCTTATAAGCAATAGAAATATATTTCTCACAGCTCTGGAGGCTGGAAGTCTGAAGTCTGGGAGCCAACATGGTCAGGTTCTGGGGAGGACCCTTTTCCAGGTCACACACTGCTGTGTCCTGTATCCTCATATGCAGTACTGCTGTACTGCTGTATCTCCTGTATCCTCATATGGTGGAAAGAGGGTGAGAAAGATCTCAGCATCCCTTTGATAAGGGCACTATTCCCATAAATGAAGGCTCCGTCTTCATGACCTAATTATCTCCCAAAGGCTAAACCTCTGAATAGCATCACATTGGCTGTTAGTATTTCAACATATGATTTTTCTGGGGGAAATAAACATTTAGTTGACTGCAAGGAGCATTTTTAGAAAGCATTAAGGGAAACACTGATACAGTCAAGTAAAAATTCTCTATAAAATAAAAGACATGATTAAATTAAAGATAAGCATCAGGTTAAGAGAATGTATTTTCAGTGTATACAGTATACTAAGATTGGCTGTCCAGAATATAGAATATAGAAACTATATTCTCCTAGGAATAAAATGAAAAATATCAACAGTTACAAAACAAGCCATGGGTATATGCAACTTTTTTAGAAGGAAGTTAATTTTTAAGTGCGTATAAAATGTTAGATTTCAATGAACGTTTTAAAAATGCAATTTTAAACTAAGATAGAGATTGTCAACTATTAAATTGGTAAAAAATAAATATCGGATAATAAGCAAGTGCCAGTAAAATTGTGGAAAGGCAGATTCCTTATATACTCCAGGTAGGAGTGCAAATGCTATAGATTTAGACAGAATCTAATAAAATTATGAATGCTTAAGGTAGGCAGAATTCTAAGATGGCCCCTGTGATCTTCACTCTCTGATGCTGTGTTCTCTATAATCCCCTCCTTTTGATTGTGAGTGGTACCTGTGACTTTTGTAAAACCGATGGAATACGGTCATGATGATAGAATGTCATTCTTATGATTAGGTTATGATATACAGTCATTCCTTGATTTGCAAAGTTTTCTTATGCAAAAATTTCAGTTACCATAGTTTAGGTAAATAATACCAGACCCCAACTACATGATCCAAATTCAGTTACTGCAGTATCTTAACTGTAATTGAAAATATACAAACTTTGCTACCTTTTCAGACTATATATCACTATGTAAATAACAGATGCATATATGATCAGTGACGAATCATGTCACTTCTGTCAAAGTCTGTTGGTAAGTGTTCATTACATAACATAATCCAGTCATTTCATGCAGAGACAGAAAAGCCTATAGTTGTGTTGTCTCCTTGTCCTGTGATAAGCAACATACCATTTTACAGGAATGGACAATTGATAGAGGGATTTGACTACCAAAGATGAAAGTACAGCAAATAAATGACAAGTGAAAATACCGGGAGTGAAATTGGATTAGATTAGATTTGAATGTTGAGATGACAAGGCAACCATAGGACAAGACCAATATTTTCATGAAGCTACTTTTTTTTCAATGATATTGAAAAAGTAAAATGAATATTAAAAAACAAGGCAAAGTTATTTCAACATCATCTGTTAAAATTGTATAAGGAATTGAGCATTTATTTCACCTTTGGGTTGAATATTACGACAGAAACAATCCCAATCAGTTTGTCTAGTATTCAAGACAAAGTTTTGAAGTTTGAAGTCATTGAAAAAAAAAGCTAATTACTGAGGCTGAAGAAGTAAATTTATTGCCAATAAAGGTGGTTTAATTGTTTCAGAAGTTGCATAAATTGATTAATTTTAGTCTATCTGGTGAAGCAGCTGGAGCCAATAAGGATGCAGCTGTGAAATTTGCACCCATATCCCAAGGATTGATTAAGGTTGATGTAATGATTGTGAAATATTTAATGCTGATGAGAGGAGTCGGTTTTGGAAGGAAATCTCATTAAAACTTCCATGAAAAAAGACGCAGAGTTTCTAAGTGGCCATGAAGGAGAAAATATAGACATGCACCCTGAAGAACTTAGTGAAGACAAATGTATTGATATAAATGAGAAAAGCGGTTGTGATTTAAAAAAGGAGGGGGGAGGAAGGTTCAGAGGAAGTAATAGTGGGAAAACACTTCACATTAAAGGAACTCTTGGAGACATCTAGTATTTAACTTGGAAAGCATAAAACATTAGAAGTTGACTTAAACTTTAAAAGAACTATACAAAGTCATTGACTTGGTATACCAAAATTATACCAAGGTATAGACAATATGCTATTTCACTTGAATGTGATGAAAAGAGGAAGACAAGCACTATTCAATCTACTCTTGGTAAGTTATATTTTTAAACAAAGAAATAAAGCACTTCAATTCCTAATGTTTCCAGAGTTTGAAATTACAATTTTAAATGTATTTCATTTTTTATTTTTTAATTTTTCAATTTAGAGTAAGAGTTTTTAAAGTTTTGACAAAAAAATTTTAAAGTTCACAGAACAATCATAAGGAAATTATAATTTTTCATCAATTGTTAAGATGCTTCACCTAGTTTCAGTTTGCATAATAATTTTTGAATTCCCATTATACCCTTCAAATAGCGACTGCATGTGTATATAAAACTCAGTCTTACTTGCATGTACACCTGAGGACACTCATGCTGGTTTTGAAGAATCGAGCTGCTAAGTTATGGACTGCCAATGGAGAAGGCCACATGAAAGGGAACTGTGAGCCTCAACTCTACTGCAAGGAACTGAATTCTGCCAACAACTAAGTTAGCATGAAAGTAAACCCAAGCTCCAAATGAGACCACAACCCCAACAGACACCTTGGCTGCAGCCTGTCACACCCCAAATTGAACAGCCAGGTTAGCTATGGCTGTAAAGTTGACCCATGGACATGGTGAGATAATAAATATGTATTGTTTTATGCTAGATTTATCTTAGCATGTTGTTTTAAGCTAGATATCTTAAATGCGTGTTTATTGAACTAGATTTATCTTTATCCAAATGAATAGATTCAAAAACATGGTGATGAATAAAATCAAATACCAAACGAAACATGTTATGTTATTTATGTAAATACAAAGAAAAGTCTCAAAATGCTGTGTACTGGCTATGAGCGTACATGCACATATAAAGGTTAAAAAAATGAACTAGAAGGATTACACTGCATTCCAAATAATGGTTGTTTCTTGGGGTTTGGAATGGGGTGTGGGAATCGAACCTGTAGTATAGAACAGTAGGGATTTAAACTTGAACTGGAATTTATTTTTCTTTAAGAAAAAGGAGTACAAAATGTAAATAACTGTAAGTTTAAAATGTCAGGTTCACAATGTTTATTATTTGTAATTTTGTAGATTTTTAATTGCTTAAAAAAGAATGACTATAAATTCTAATACCTGGCATGCACTGAAACCCTAATTTCTACCTGGTCATGAAAGGAGATGCTGAGGAGTCAGGAAGGAAAATATTCAAAACGTTTCATTGAAGGTGGAAGAAATTAACTGTTGGGTTCTAGAGAATAAGAACAAGATTGAATAGATTTTCCCTTTCTGCTCTTAAATGGTTGCTGTCTGATTTTCAGGAGAAACTTTCTTTCTTCTAATGATGTGCACTTACTCATAGACAAAAGCCAGATTCAGCTGGCCTCCCTAGGGAGGAAGCTCAAAAGCGCTTCAGTGTATCTCACCAGGTAAGTTGCTGATGATCTATTTCAGAATCACCCGGAGTGCTTGTTAATGATACAGATGCTTATGCCCACAGTGCATTCCCTGAGTCAGAATTTTGGGGGATTGTGGCCAGGAATTTTCATTTTTGTAAGCTCTCTGGGTAATTCTAATGCATTCTCATTTTTAAAGCAATTGTTACCATTTCAATAGTAAAATAGAGCTCATAAAATAATAAAGTATTTGCAGATGTTAATAAGCACATATATATACTTATATATAATATAATGTGTATATGTATACCATATATATGGTATATATATACATACACTATATATACACTTATATATAATATAAGGTATATATATACACACCATAGATATTATCTACACATAATTAATATAAATGTAAATATGGTATATAAATATAAATATATTATTTACACATCAATTACACATATTATGTATACACACACACACACACACACACACACACAAATGACATTTTATTTAAAATAAATCATTAAGGGAGATGAATGTGTGGCAATTATGGTGCCATCATGAAAAATGTCTAATTTTCCTTTTGTTTGATAGCTTCCATTCCCATTCTTGTGAAAGGCATGAGAGTAAGGTTCAGAATGAATGAAAAACTCCCCCCTCCCCTGCTCTTTCAATCCTTCTTTGTACTTTTAATTTTAAAAAGCATAAAAATAAATAGAGAAGTTGGAAGAAACTCTATGAACTTTCTTATTCTCTTCACCCATATTCACCAATTCTTAGCTTTTTAACATTAACTGTGTGCATGTGTGTATAAATGTTTTGCACTGAACAATTTTATAGTGAATTGAAGACATTATGAACACTTATTCCTAAATATTACAGTATGTGTATTTCCTAAAATATGATATTATTTTATATACAGTGCAATTATAAAATAAAGGACTTTAATATTGATTAAAGTACTATTATTTATTATACCATTCATATTCAAATGTTGCCAGTTGCCCTCAATAAAGTCTTCCACAAGTTTTATTTTCTAATATAGTCTTCATGTCTCTTTACTCTCATTTCCTCATCTTTTGACATTCATGACATTGGTATTTCTTAAGAATACTAACCAGTGATTTCATTGAATTTAATCTTATTTTTTTATTATTGTTGCCTCATGATTAAATACAAGTGATCATTTTGTTAGGAATACTGTCATTTTTATGTCATTTTCAGTACATCGCATTAGGAGACACACGATGTCAGTTTATCCTATGATTCGGTAATGTTAACTCTGGTAATTTGGTAAAATATTGTTTGCCAGACTTCTCCACTGAAAAGTTTCTATTTTCCTTGTAATTAACCAATTAGTTGTGACATGTTGAGATTGTTAAGTATTATATTTCCCATTAAATATGTTTAGTTTTAGTATCCATTAAGTTTTTTCTGTAATCAGTTATTTCTATGATTGCAAAAGAGATTTTGTAACTATAATTTCTTTTACGTGGTATTTTCCTTGTCATATATTCATTTAGTATCAGCATAGGCAAGTAGGCTTTTTATTTTATTTATTATTATTTTTTTTTAGGTTATTTGTTCTTTTTTTTTTTCTTATTATACTTTAAGTTTTAGGGTACATGTGCACATTGTGCAGGTTAGTTACATATGTATACATGTGCCATGCTGGTGCGCGGCACCCACTAAATCATCATCTAGCATTAGGTATATCTCCCAGTGCTATCCCTCCCCCCTCTCCCCACCCCACCACAGTCCCCAGAGTGTGATATTCCCCTTCCTGTATCCATGTGATCTCATTGTTCAATTCCCACCTATGAGTGAGAATATGCGGTGTTTGGTTTTTTGTTCTTGCGATAGTTTACTAAGAATGATGATTTCCAATTTCATCCATGTCCCTACAAAGGACATGAACTCATCATTTTTTATGACTGCATAGTATTCCATGGTGTATATGTGCCACATTTTCTTAATCCAGTCTATCATTGTTGGACATTTGGGTTGGTTCCAAGTCTTTGCTATTGTGAATAATGCCGCAATAAACATATGTGTGCATGTGTCTTTATAGCAGCATGATTTATAGTCCTTTGGGTATATACCCAGTAATGGGATGGCTGGGTCAAATGGTATTTCTAGTTCTAGATCCCTGAGGAATCACCACATTGACTTCCACAATGGTTGAACTAGTTTACAGTCCCACCAACAGTGTAAACGTGTTCCTATTTCTCCACATCCTCTCCAGCACCTGTTGTTTCCTGACTTTTTAATGATTGCCATTCTAACTGGTGTGAGATGGTATCTCATTGTGGTTTTGATTTGCATTTCTCTGATGGCCAGTGATGACGAGCATTTTTTCATGTGTCTTTTGGCTGCATAAATGTCTTCTTTTGAGAAGTGTCTGTTCATGTCCTTCGCCCACTTTTTGATGGGGTTGTTTTTTTCTTGTAAATTTGTTTGAGTTCATTGTAGATTCTGGATATTAACCCTTAGTCAGATGAGTAGATTGCGAAAATTTTCTCCCATTTTGTAGGTTGCCTGTTCACTCTGATGGTAGTTTCTTTTGCTGTGCAGAAGCTCTTTAGTTTAATTAGATCCCATTTGTCAATTTTGTCTTTTGTTGCCATTGCTTTTGGTGTTTTGGACATGAAGTCCTTGCCCATGCCTATGTCCTGAATGGTAATGCCTAGGTTTTCTTCTAGGGTTTTTATGGTTTTAGGTCTAACGTTGAAGTCTTTAATCCATCTTGAATTGATTTTTGTATAAGGTGTAAGGAAGGGATCCAGTTTCAGCTTTCTACATATGGCTAGCCAGTTTTCCCAGCACCATTTATTAAATAGGGAATCCTTTCCCCATTGCTTGTTTTTCTCAGGTTTGTCAAAGATCAGATAGTTGTAGATATGCGGCGTTATTTCTGAGGGCTCTGTTCTGTTCCATTGATCTGTATCTCTGTTTTGGTACCAGTACCATGCTGTTTTGGTTACTGTAGCCTTGTAGTATAGTTTGAAGTCAGGTAGTGTGATGCCTCCAGCTTTGTTCTTTTGGCTTAGGATTGCCTTGGTGATGCAGGCTCTTTTTTAGTTCCATATGAACTTTAAAGTAGTTTTTTCCAATTCTGTGAAGAAAGTCATTGGTAGCTTGATGGGGATGGCATTGAATCTGTAAATTACCTTGGGCAGTATGGCCATTTTCACGATATTGATTCTTCCTACCCATGAGCATGGAATGTTCTTCCATTTGTTTGTATCCTCTTTTATTTCCTTGAGCAGTGGTTTGTAGTTCTCCTTGAAGAGGTCCTTCACGTCCCTTGTAAGTTGGATTCCTAGGTATTTTATTCTCTTTGAAGCAATTGTGAATGGGAGTTCACTCATGATTTGGCTCTCTGTTTGTCTGTTGTTGGTGTGTAAGAATGCTTGTGATTTTTGTACATTGATTTTGTATCCTGAGACTTTGCTGAATTTGCTTATCAGCTTAAGGAGATTTTGGGCTGAGACAATGGGGTTTTCTAGATATACAATCATGTCATCTGCAAACAGGGACAATTTGACTTCCTCTTTTCCTAATTGAATACCCTTTATTTCCTTCTCCTGCCTAATTGCCCTGGCCAGAACTTCCAACACTATGTTGAATAGGAGTGGTGAGAGAGGGCATCCCTGTCTTGTGCCAGTTTTCACAGGGAATGCTTCCAGTTTTTGCCCATTCAGTATGATATTGGCTGTGGGTTTCTCATAGATAGCTCTTATTATTTTGAAATACGTCCCATCAATACCTAATTTATTGAGAGTTTTTAGCATGAAGGGTTGTTGAATTTTGTCAAAGGCTTTTTCTGCATCTATTGAGATAATCATGTGGTTTTTGTCTTTGGCTCTGTTTATATGCTGGATTACATTTATTGATTTGCGTATATTGAACCAGCCTTGCATCCCAGGGATGAAGCCCACTTGATCATGGTGGATAAGCTTTTTGATGTGCTGCTGGATTCGGTTTGCCAGTATTTTATTGAGGATTTTTGCATCAATGTTCATCAAGGATATTGGTCTAAAATTCTCTTTTTTGGTTGTGTCTCTGCTCGGCTTTGGTATCAGAATGATGCCGGCCTCATAAAATGAGTTAGGGAGGATTCCCTCTTTTTCTATTTATTGGAATAGTTTCAGAAGGAATGGTACCAGTTCCTCCTTGTACCTCTGGTAGAATTCGGTGAATCCATCTGGTCCTGGACTCTTTTTGGTTGGTAAACTATTGATTATTGCCACAATTTCAGCTCCTGTTATTGGTCTATTCAGAGATTCAACTTCTTCCTGGTTTAGTCTTGGGAGAGTGTATGTGTCGAGGAATTTATCCATTTCTTCTAGATTTTCTAGTTTATTTGCGTAGAGGTGTTTGTAGTATTCTCTGATGGTAGTTTGTATTTCTGTGGGATCGGTGGTGATATCCCCTTTATCATTTTTTATTGTGTCTATTTGATTCTTCTCTCTTTTTTTATTAGTCTTGCTAGCAGTCTATCAATTTTGTTGATCCTTTCAAAAAAACCAGCTCCTGGATTCATTAATTTTTTGAAGGGTTTTTTGTGTCTCTATTTCCTTCAGTTCTGCTCTGATTTTAGTTATTTCCTGCCTTCTGCTAGCTTTTGAATGTGTTTGCTCTTGCTTTTCTAGTTCTTTTAATTGTGATGTTAGAGTGCCAATTTTGGATCTTTCCTGCTTTCTCTTGTGGGCATTTAGTTCTATAAATTTCCCTCTACACACTGCTTTGAATGCGTCCCAGAGATTCTGGTATGTTGTGTCTTTGTTCTCATTGGTTTCAAAGAACATCTTTATTTCTGCCTTCATTTTGTTATGTATCTAGTAGTCATTCAGGAGCAGGTTGTTCAGTTTCCATGTAGTTGAGCGGTTTTGAGTGAGATTCTTAATCCTGAGTTCTAGTTTGATTGCACTGTGGTCTGAGAGATAGTTTGTTATAATCTCTGTTCTTTTACATTTGCTGAGGAGAGCTTTACTTCCAAGTATGTGGTCAATTTTGGAATAGGTGTGGTGTGGTGCTGAAAAAAATGTATATTCTGTTGATTTGGGGTGGAGAGTTCTGTAGATGTCTATTAGGTCCGCTTGGTGCAGAGCTGAGTTCAATTCTGGGTATCCTTGTTGACTTTCTGTCTCGTTGATCTGTCTAATGTTGACAGTGGGGTGTTAAAGTCTCCCATTATTAATGTGTGGGAGTCTACATCTATTTGTAGGTCACTCAGGACTTGTTTTATGAATCTCGGTGCTCCTGTATTGGGTGCATATATATTTAGGATAGTTAGCTCTTCTTGTTGAATTGATCCCTTTACCATTATGTAATGGCCTTCTTTGTCTCTTTTGATCTTTGTTGGTTTAAAGTCTGTTTTATCATAGACTAGGATGGCAACCCCTGCCTTTTTTTGTTTTGTATTTGCTTGGTAGATCTTCCTCCATCCTCTTATTTTGAGCCTATGTGTGTCTCTGCACGTGAGATGAGTTTCCTGAATACAGCACACTGATGGGTCTTGACTCTTTATCCAATTTGCCAATCTGTGTCTTTTAATTGGAGCATTTAGTCCATTTACATTTAAAGTTAATATTGTTATGTGTGAATTTGATCCTGTCATTATGATGTTAGCTGGTGATTTTGCTTGTTAGTTGATGCAGTTTCTTCCTAGTCTCGATGGTCTTTACATTTTGGCTTGGTTTTGCAGCGGCTGGTACCGGTTGTTCCTTTCCATGTTTAGCGCTTCCTTCAGGAGCTCTTTTATGGCAGGCCTGGAGGTGACAAAATCTCTCAGCATTTGCTTGTCTGTAAAGTATTTTATTTCTCCTTCACTTATGAAGCTTAGTTTGGCTGGATATGAAATTCTGGTTTGAAAATTCTTTTCTTTAAGAATGTTGAATATTGGCCCCCACTCTCTTCTGGCTTGTAGGGTTTCTGCCGAGAGATCCGCTGTTAGTCTGATGGGCTTCCCTTTGAGGGTAACCCGACCTTTCTCTCTGGCTGCCCTTAACATTTTTTCCTTCATTTCAACTTTGGTGAATCTGACAATTATGTGTCTTGGAGTTGCTCTTCTCGAGGAGTATCTTTGTGGCGTTCTCTGTATTTCCTGAATCTGAACGTTGGCCTGCCTTGCTAGATTGGGGAAGTTCTCCTGGATAATATCCTGCAGAGTGTTTTCCAACTTGGTTCCATTCTCCCCATCACTTTCAGGTACACCAATCAGACGTAGATTTGGTCTTTTCACATAGTCCCATATTTCGTGGAGGCTTTGCTCATTTCTTTTTATTCTTTTTTCTCTAAACTTCCCTTCTCGCTTCATTTCATTCATTTCATCTTCCATCGCTGATACCCTTTCTTCCAGTTGATCGCATCAGCTCCTGAGGCTTCTGCATTCTTCACGTAGTTCTCGAGCCTTGGTTTTCAGCTCCATCAGCTCCTTTAAGCACTTCTCTGTATTGGTTATTCTAGTTACACATTCTTCTAAATTTTTTTCAAAGTTTTCAACTTCTTTGCCTTTGGTTTGAATGTCCTCCCATAGCTCAGAGTAATTTGATCGTCTGAAGCCTTCTTCTCTCAGCTCGTCAAAGTCATTCTCCATCCAGCTTTGTTCCGTTGCTGGTGAGGAACTGCGTTCCTTTGGAGGAGGAGAGGCGCTCTGCGTTTTAGAGTTTCCAGTTTTTCTGTTCTGTTTTTTCCCCAACTTTGTGGTTTTATCTACTTTTGGTCTTTGATGATGGTGATGTACAGATGGGTTTTCAGTGTGGATGTCCTTTCTGTTTGTTAGTTTTCCTTCTAACAGACAGTACCCTCAGCTGCAGGTCTGTTGGAATATCCTGCCGTGTGAGGTGTCAGTGTGCCCCTGCTGGGGGGTGCCTCCCAGTTAGGCTGCTCGGGGGTCAGGGGTCAGGGACCCACTTGAGGAGGCAGTCTGCCCATTCTCAGATCTCCAGCTGCGTGCTGGGAGAACCACTGCTCTCTTCAAAGCTGTCAGACAGGGACATTTAAGTCTGCAGAGGTTACTGCTGTCTTTTTGTTTGTCTGTGCCCTGCCCCCAGAGGTGGAGGCTGCAGAGGCAGGCAGGCCTCCTTGAGCTGTGGTGGGCTCCACCCAGTTCGAGCTTCCCGGCTGCTTTGTTTACCTAAGCAAGCCTGGGCAATGGCGGGCGCCCCTCCCCCAGCCTCGCTGCCGCCCTGCAGCTGGATCTCAGACTGCTGTGCTAGCAATCAGCGAGACTCCGTGGGCGTAGGACCCTCCGAGCCAGTTGCAGGATACAATCTCGTGGTGCACCGTTCCCTAAGCAGTTCGGAAAAGCGTAATATTTGGGTGGGAGTGATCCGATTTTCCAGGTGCGTCCGTCACCCCTCTCATTGACTCGGAAAGGGAACTCCCCAACCCCTTGCGCTTCCCAAGTGAGGCAATGCCTCGCCCCGCTTCGGCTCGCGCACAGTGCGCGCACCCACCGATCTGCGCCCGCCGTCTGGCACTCCCCAGTGAGATGAACCCGGCACCTCAGAGGGAAATGCAGAAATCACCCGTCCTCTGCGTCACTCACGCCGGGAGCTGCAGACTGGAGCCGTTCCCATTCGGCCATCTTGGCTCCTCCCCCCAGGTTATTTCGGCTTTTTATTTTTAATATGAAATTAATTACCATATTTATTTTGATGCTTACATTGATCAAGATTTAGCCATTAGAACCCTCTTTATATTTTTGACATAATCCATTCCCTAATACTAAAGAGCAAATTGAAGATAATGCAATTGAGTGAATGAGTCAGTCCTTTATATTATTCAAGCCATAATCCAATTCATAAGTGAATAAACAGCAACTGTCTTTGTATTGCAAATTGTGTCTCTACGGAGACTTTTAGACGTACCTCTAAAAGTTACTCAAAGACCACCCAACCTTCTCATCAACCACAGGACCTTCCCTATTTGGCCTCTATAATTGTGCAGATATTATTAAAAATTTAGACAATGAAAACTGAACTGCTTTGCTCTTAAGAAAAAGAAGAAAAAGAATTTTGAAGAGAGCTATACTGTCAAAAAGTTAGCTTAATAAAAGCTAACATTGAGACTACATATTTACAAACTTCCTTGTTCTTTCTTTGATCCTATTCTTCTCATAGGAACTTCTTGGTCTACTGAACCCCTTTTCTCAAATCCCTACTAACTGAACTTCACTGGCCTTTTGGGGAAAGTTAAGATCTCCCCCAAATCACTCCTCTAAGACCTGCTCATCCATATACTTCTGCCCTTCCTTCCTTTTGCTACCTTTGATCTTGCAACTAGCTCTCTCGAAATGCTCCCCCTCAAGCTACTACTTTCTCCATTTGATGCAATAAGAGGAAAAATCAGAGTTCTGGAGACAATATAAAAACACCTAAAGGAGACTTCTAGCACTCTTGAAATCCTTAGAGAAACAAAAAAGGTGCACCACTGTTTCCTTTATGTTGTTCTTGTCTTCCTCACAAAGTCACAAGAGTTGCGGTTGGGATCCCCACAAGTTTGAAACTCTGCTTTCTTTTTGCACTGAGCTCCCTGGTCACTTTGACTTTTGGGGATATCAAGGGTTATTTTATACTGTGAGACAACACCTGACATTTGGGTATATGGTTACTGATGAGATACTAGCAACAGCTGCAACTTTAACGGTAACTGGCAATAATTACAGTAAATGGTTATTTGTAGGGGGCAAACTCCAACTTTTATCCTCTTTGCCTCTTTGCATGCTTAGGTAGACACACACACAAAACAAAACAAAACAAAAGCAAATCTCAAGTGTCTGACATTCAGCCAGCCAGTTATTTTGCACAGGCTTCTGAATATTCTTTTAGGCTCGTTTGTATACTTTCTTGTAAAATTCTGTAGTAAATTCTCTTGATTTTATTGTGCCTTAGCAACTGCTGTAGATCTCACTCTGTGTCTTACCTAGCTTACAGACTCCAAACTCCTCTTGAAAGAATTTGCAATCTTTCTCTGTGCCTTCAAGATATAAATTTCCTACCCATCTCTAGAACTCAGTAGGTGGCTTTAGCCATATGAGAGATTAACTTATTTCATTTACAGTGGCACAGTTTAGATCCAACTGTTTAAACTAGTTAGTTTTTGTACCTGTCTCAAGGCTAATGTTTTTGAAAAGCTGAAAGATCTCTGTTTGTTTCTGTTTGTATTTTTGTATGTGCATGTGTACAGGTGTGTTTGGCATGTTGTGTCTACATGGATGTTTGTTTCTTTCATGTGTTTGTATATTGTCCACATGGTACCAAATTCACTTAAGAATAAATGAACATTCATAAATTAAATAAGTACAAATTCTTTTCAAGGTCATGTGACTTTGGTAATCCTTGGTAAATAAGAATAACATTGATTTAATTAAAACAGGCATGTCTGTCAACATTAAATCTAATGCAGATACAGAGCTTTTATCTCTAGAGGATGTTTAAGATCAAACTTATAAAAGCATGAATTTGACCTAAGAAGAAATGAATTAAATATATTAAGTGGGAGTACTTACACATAATTTTTAAATAACAATTATTATTTATAATATGTTTAATTTAAAATTTTCTCAAATTTCTTTGACATCTATACCTTTAGAGATTTGTTAAGTTAACTTACATATATTTATAAAATTTCTAGACAATTTCCAAATAAAATAAAATATCGAAACATCAGTTACAGACCGTGAGGTTTGTTTTTTACTTTCAGTTTCATATTGCAAACAAACATAATATATTTGAATTTATTATGTTTGAATATTATTCAAACAATATATTTGAATCTTTCCTGTTCTACATTTAAAAAATTGAATTTTTTTAAATTATAAAATATGTATTCATAAAATGTGATTATATGACACAATTAAAAACTGCTTACTTCCTAGGATTTCACTAAAAATTAAGGCTACTAAGAGTTAAAATTCTAGTGAATATACATAATTATAATTACTAAAAATAAGGGAAACAATTCTGCATACCAAGTATACAAGAAAAGCAAGATGTGTTTTTGGTGAGGAAACATAAAAAAGGAATAGAAGATATGTATTTTTATTGAGACAAAATAACTTTGTCTAGTCTAAAGTGTATTCAAAGATTGTTTCAGAATAAATAAATGGAGAAAGAAATGTTATAGATAAAAATAAATGGATATAAAAAGTTAGAAAGAGGAAGCAGTGCAAAAAAGAATCTTATCTGGTTAAACTGATTAAAGCTACATGAATTTATTATAAGTTTTAAAAAGTGAACCTTAATAGAAAAAGTACATTGATATAAAACTAGGATTTTCTCTTCTCCTTTACACAGATTTTAATGTAGTATTAATAAAAGATAAAAATATTTTGTTATGTTTTGTGTGAGTATTTTTAAAAAGAAGAGAGAGAGATTCTGTATGCCTCATGATGTTATTAGTGATATTGATTAAATGAATACTATTTTGTAATAACCTGTGACCTATTTTTGATAAAGGATTTTGAACCTTTATTTTTTTACAAATTTTGCAAAATCAGAATTAAGTTATTTTCTTTTTTTTTTTTTTCACCTTGAGCTAAATTTTAGACATTCCAGAAGGGCCCCAGGAAATACAAAAGAGACATATTAAACTACTTGACTTATTTAGTATCTTAAAATTATATAATAATATTGTCAAATAAGAAATTATATTTAACTGAGTTATATTTGTATGAATACGTTATTAATGTGTTCCAAAATTATATGAGATTTCTAGAAATCCGGTATGTCTTGACGTAATACTATCATTTATAATCTTTGGTTATTACAGTTGACCCTTGAACAACATAGAAATTAGGTGTGCCAACCCCTTGCCCAGTCAATATTTCACATAAAACTTTTGACTCCTCAAAAAATAACTACTAATAGCCTACTGTATAACATAAACAGTCAATTCATATTCTGTATATTGCATTTTGACAATAAAATTAGCTAGAAAAAAGGAAATTTTAAGAATATCATAAAAAAGAGAAAACAGATTTTCTATTCATTAAATGAAGTGGATAATCATAAACGTCTTCATCCTCACTGTCTTTATATTGAGTAGGCTGAGGAAAAGGAGGAAGAAGAGGGGTTGGTTTTGCTGTCTCAGGGGTGGGGCCAAGGCAGAAAATGCAGAAGTGGTAGAAGCAAAAGCAAGAGAGGCAGGAACACTTAGTATAACATTATGGAAATACATCATAAATTCTGTCTGACTTTCAAAATTTTCAATTGACCTAAAAAGGTTTCTATATGGTACCAACTTTTATTCTACCATTTGCTTTAGTTTCCATGCCCATATCATAGAAGGGTCCATGGAATAAAAGAAGTCAAAAGCAGTCTTCAATCTAACACACTGCCAGACTGTCTAATGTACATTTCTTTTCTGGCACTGCTTCTTCTATGTCTTCTTCCTTATCATCTAGCATTGGTTTGACAGCACTCATTTTCATTCAATCTTCTATTAATTCCTCTGGCACGGTGTCTATTAGCTCTTGAATTTCTCCAAGATTTATGTCTTAACACCCATCACCCCTCACTTTTTTTTGGCCACAATTTTATTTTTTAATTTATTTTTTATCCACTTTTTTATTTCCTTAATTGGCACTGTCACAAATTATATTATGTCATGCACAACATCTGCACTCAGTTTTCTCCAGAAGGAATTTACTGTTTCAGGCATAATGGATTTCTTGACATTTTCTGTAGCAATGATGGCATCTTCAAAGGTGTAATCCTTCTGGACTTCATGATGTTCTCTCTATCAGATCTCTCTTCCATAGTATTGACAATCCTCTTCATGCAGTACCCTGAGTAATGAGCCTTAATGGTCCTAGTGACCCATGATCTAGAGGCTGAGTTAGACATGTTATGTTGGGTGCAAATATACCACTTTGACACCTTCAGTATTAAACTCCTGGGGTTCCCAGTAGCCCAGGGGCATTGCCCAATATTAAATAAACTTTAAAAGGAAGTCCCTTACTGGCTAAGTATTTCCTGACTTCAGGGCCAAACATTAACAGAACCAATCCAGAAAACAAAATTAAATGTTCTTGCTGTCCTGGCCTTTATGTTGTACAATGAAAAGAGGGACAGCTGATCATTTTCTTCAAGGTTCAGTAGTTAGCAGCTTTATAGATAAGGACAGTCCTGATCATATACCCAACTGCATATACACAAAACAGTAGAATTAGCCTATCCCTTCTTGCATTATATCCTGGTGCTTGTTTCTCTTCCTTAATAAGAAATGTCCTTTTGGCTTTTTTTTTCCTCTTCAGAATATGGCACTTTCATCTGCATTAAACATCTGTTAAGGCAGATATTCTTTCTCCTCAACAACTTTCTTAATAATTTCTGGAACATGTCTGCTGCCTCCTGGTCAGCAGAAGCTGCTTCTTGTGTTAACTTGATATTTCTAAAATTATCAAACCATCCTTTGCTGGCATTAAATTATGTAGCTTTAGATTATTTACCTTCTGTTTGGTTAGGTTGTCATATAATGACTTATTTTAGAGTTTATAAGTATGACTTACTTAGAGGAATCCCGCATCAACATAAAAGCTATGTTTTCAGTATGACATAAAAAGGTATTTCACAAAATAGTCAAAGTTTTTGCATCTGCTGGCATAGCTGCGCCTACAATTTCATGAATTTCTTTTTTTTACAATGATCTCTATGCTGGATTTATTTATCTGGAATTGGCAGGACACCACAGCTACAGACTTCCAACTATTATATACATCAAGCAATTTAAACTTTTTCTTATTATGTCATGACTGTGTTTCTTGGGAACACTTCCTGCATTACTACTGGCACTTTGTTTCAGTCCCATGGTGTTACTTAGGTTTATGTTATTGCACTAAGCAGGATGAAAAATATATAATACCCAGTAGAGATAACTTTTTACTTTGATACACAATTTACTATCAGGATGTACTACTCATCCAAAGATGATTAGCATTACATAGCATTTTAAGCAGATACTCACAACATAAGCTCACTACAATAGCAATAGGAGGTGGTTAAGAAATGCTTACAGTAGTACAGTATGTGCTACAATTAATTTTATGCAGTTATGATTTACTACTTCATCTTTATGTTTCTTTACATTTTTCTCTACTGCAAATAGTGCCATGTATAGTCTGTGCCTGTGTACATAAGCTTTGATAAATTTTAATATTTTATAATTAATTTATATATATTTTATAGTATCTAGATATATTTTCTACATTCATTACTTACATACTTTTTCTTTTTTTTGAAATTTCTAGGCTACACAGTTTGTCTCCAAGTTTTTTTGAAATGGTTGCAAATTTCCAAAAATTTTTCAATATATTTATGGAAAAAATCTGTATATAAGTGAATCCTTGCAGTTGAAACCTCTCTTGTTCAAGGGGCAACTACATATTAAATTGTTTTATGCCATAGAAATAATAATAAACTCCCATCAGATTTTTAATCATGGCCATTTTATGTCTTGCTGTACATAGCACAGTACTTTTTTTATGCTTTTTATGACAGCTCTTTGCAAGCAATTATAATC
The DNA here is from genome assembly GCF_000001405.40 of Homo sapiens. Lineage (NCBI taxonomy): Eukaryota > Metazoa > Chordata > Mammalia > Primates > Hominidae > Homo > Homo sapiens. The sequence continues at coordinate 93,643,531 of NC_000006.12, forward strand.
TTATAATATTGTATCTCAATGAGATATATGAAAAGAATGAGAATAACTGCGACAAGTATAGGTTTCTGATAACTTCGAGAATTTCTAGAACTCTGTTAAAAGAAAAAAAAGACCTGGATTCATAAACTTGCTAATCCAACATCAAGGAGAACAAAAATTAATTATTTGGAAATAAACTGATGAGGCACTATTATTATTATACTTTTTGCTTGAAACATTGTTAATTCTTTTTGTTTGCTAGATTAAAGGAATTTTTTATGTTTGTTTTTAAGCTATCTATAGCTTACAGAAATTTGGTAAAGTATACTTTTTTTGAGCAGCATTGAATCATTCACCTTTTCTCCCTTCCTGATCCCTCTGTAATTCAGAAAATATTCATGAGTGTTGTTAACTTTCTGACAATATACTTACCCACATAAATTCAACAAAAATTTGTTCTAACAGGAGATAGCTGGAAACACAGATTATATTACCAAAACTTTCACTAGAATGTCAATTCTTCAGATATGAACAGACAACTTTAAAAAACTGAGGTTGGATTTATGAAACCAGTAAAAGCCCCTTGAAGAAGCTGAGCTGGTACCTTGAATACAAGTTTCCTGGCCTTGTGGAGATTCAAGAATGTGACTTTCTGACCTGCCTTGGGACCTCAAAATATTTTGTGAGCCTAAAAGAGAGAAGAATTCAGCTAGCTTCTACAAGTAAAGTTTGATGGTAAGACCTTGGCTTGGTTTCCTAGCCTAAAGAGGTTATTTAAAATGTCTATTCTGAGGTCCCTTACTTAAAGTTCCAACAAAGGAAACTTAAAAAGAGCCTATTACAAGTAGTTAGATAGGCATGAGTGGGGCAAGAGAGGGCTCTCCCCCAACCCACTAGGAATGTCGGATGATGGTCCAGCAATTATCGCATTGTCTCTCTAAAAGTGATAAATTGGCAGCTGGTGCCAGGGAAAGGCCATTTTCTGATGGTCCACACCTATTGCACTAAGTGTTAATTGAATGCAAGCACTAGGGAGAAGCAACTTCCCAGGCATGTGCATTAAAAGACAAAATGGCAGAGTGTGACCTTCTGGGGGGCACTCTTCTGGAAAAGGGAAGAAAGCCTCAGATGGGCATGCATACAACTTCCTAAACACACTGCACATGCTCACTTTCCAAGGGTAAGGAGGGTACTGCACATACAGGCAGCCCATCCTAAGGGAAGAATCATGGGAAAGTGGCCAGCCAGCCTGAAGTCCTAGAATCAAAGGTAAACATTGCACTTGACCTCAGTTCCCACTTGGCTCTCTTCCAAGTGTACTTCCTGTTTTAAAGCTTTTTTTTTTTTTTTTGAGGCAGCATTTTGCTTTGGCATCCAGGCTGGAGTGCAGTGGCACGATCTCAGCTCACTCAGCTCAACCTCCGCCTCCCAGGTTCAAGCGATTCTCCTACCTCAGCCTCCCGGGTGAGTGGGATTACAGGCGTCAGCCACCATGCCCAGCTAATTTCTGTATTTTTAGTAGAGATGGGGTTTCACCACTTTGGCCAGGCTGGTCTTGAACTCCTGACCGCAGAGGATCCGCCTGCCTCGGCCTCCCAAAATTCACCAGGCCGGCCTAAAGCCTTTTAAATAAACGTACACTCCTGCTCTGACACTTGCCTTGGTCTCTTTTACTGCCTTATGCTCCTCAGTCAGATTCTTTCTTCTGAGAAGGCAAGAATTGAGGTTGCTGCAGACCCATACAGATTTGCCACCAATAACTTAAATATCTTTGACTGGTAACAAGCCTATATGAACAATCACTATACTTGCTGCAATTTATGCAAAACAAACAAACAAACAAAGAAAGCAGGCCAAGTTAATGAGATTAAACTTACTTTGCAATTCATTGGACTTATTGTGATTATCTGATAAAAATGAGGGGACAGGGGATGGAAAAAAATATGTTTCAGAGGAAAGCCATAGTGTACCTGTTATTAGAGTCTAGCCCTGCCCATTGTTTTCACATTTTTATTATTTACCTACAATCTGAACAGAATCCTGAATTTTTAGTTTCTCCCAATATCTGTCAGTGAGTCTCCAAACTAACATTTTAAATCTTTCTCCCATCCTGTGACTTGGAATCACTAAAAGTTAAAACTCTGCTTTCCTGAAGCTCTACAAGCTAAAAATGGCTGCCTTGATAAATAAGTGTCAGAGATATCATCTTACGTTTAAACTGCAATGCAGGAAAATCTGTTAGATTGCCTTTACATCTTTCTGTTTCAACTTCAAACACAAATCTTGGAATCTTCTCAATTGACTGCCCTCTAAACTCTAGAGAATCTACCTTACAGGCTGCTCCAAACATTAGCCTTTGTTTTATTCTATTTCCATTGAAATGTCTCTTATTAAAGACTTCTTTGCCAGTACCATACAGAGGCTAAAATGAGACACAACTGCTTCACTGGACTGACCTTTTCCCAGGAATGAGAGCCTGGTTTATGAGATCTTTTGCCGCTCAGCTACCAACTTGATTATTCTCTCTGCATAGCCTTCAACTCAACTTTTAGTGTGTAAAACTTCTAGGGAAGTTTCAGACAGGGGAATGTTAGGCCCAATCGAGCAAGACCTCAAAGTATGATGCTCTGGCATGATGAGTACCTTGAATTAAAAGAAATTGGATGGCCTTAGAAGCTGCCTCTAAGAAACATTTTTTTCTGTGCTGCCTGCAAGAGGAGTCTTTTTACTGCATTCTGGTTTAAATGTAAAATGTCATCTTTATAAAAACTTCCAAGGCCAATTAAAAGGCTTTATTGTAAATTATCAAAAAACGAAATAAGATAGGAAACCCACTCAATTCCTTGGGTTACACTTTACATTCCATAAAAAATTATTATAAAAACAATAATAATTACATATTGAATTAGACATGTAGAATTTTCATTTCAGAGTGAAAAGTAGTGAGAACTTGTTCTTTTCTGTAAGAGCATGAACATGATATACATGTTGTAGTTTAATTTATTTTTTAAATTAGGAAACAGGTAAATTTTTACTTAAAGCAATGTAACTTGGAAAAAAGATGGAACACACATGCTGAGGAGTCAATGCAATGTAACAATAAACTACAAATGATGATGCTGGTGATGGCAATAATGATGATGATAATGATAGCTGAAATTTATACCTTACATAGGATTTACCATGTACCATGAACAATTTTAATTAGGTTATGTGTATGTGTGTGTATATATAGATGCAGAACTACTTTGTGAGGTTAGTGCCATTTTTTTTCTTCTTTTTTTTAAAAAAATTATACTTTAGGCCGGGCGCGGTGGCTCACGCCTGTAATCCCAGCACTTTGGGAGGCCGAGATGGGCGGATCACAAGGTCAGGAGATCGAGACCATCCTGGCTAACACGGTGAAACCCCGTCTCTACTAAAAATACAAAAAAAATTAGCCGGGCATGGTGGCGCACGCCTGTAGTCCCAGCTACACGGGAGGCTGAGGCAGGAGAATGGCGTGAACCCGGGAGGCGGAGCTTGCAGTGAGTCGAGATCGCGCCACTGCACTCCAGCCTGGGCGACAGAGCGAAACTCCGTCCCCAAAAAAAAAAAAAAAAAAAATTATACTTTAAATTCTGGGTTACATGTCAGAACGTACAGTTTTTCTGCATAGGTATATACACATGACAGGGTGGTTTGCTGCACCCATCAACCTGTCACCTACATTAAGTATTTCTCCTAAAGCTCTCCCTCCCCTTGCTCCCCACTGCCCAGCCCGACAGGACCTGGTGTGTGATGTTCCCCTCCCTGTGTCCATGTGCTCTCATTGTTCAACTACCACGTATGAGTGAGAACATGTGGTGTTTGGTTTTCTGTTCTTGTGTTAGTTTGCTGAGGATGATAGTTTCCAGCTTCATCCATGTCCCTGCAAAGGGCATGAACTCATCCTTTTTTATGACTGCATAGTATTCCATGGTGTATATGTGTCACATTTTCTTTACCCAGTCTATCACTGATGGGCATTCGGGTTGGTTAGAACTAGAAATACCATTTGACCCAGCAATCCCATTACTGGGTGTATAACCCAAGGATTATAAATCATTCTACTATAAAGACACACGCACATGTTATGTTTATTGCGGCACTATTCGCAATAGGTTAGTACCATTTTTAACCTCATTTTACAGGTGGGGAAAATAAGGCAAACAATGTTTCAGTACCTTGCCCAAGGGCACACCATTAACGAGTACCAACTGTGTTAAAGATCTAGAGGTTTATCTATATGGAGAATTAGAGACAGCTGGAGTAGCCCAAACTGCTTCAGAATTGGTCTTGCACATTAGAGTATGTAAGCACATATGAAACATGTCTTTAAGGAACTGATTATTTTTCATGTAAAAATAGAATTAGAAAAGAGTGGGACAAAGATCAACATGTGAAAAAAATGGAGAAACAATGATTTTTACATGTAATGTAAAAATCTTTGTTCCATAGCTGGGGTCACTCTTTTTATTTGAAAAATTTTAAGGTACAATTGATATAACATGGATTTGGAAGCAGGTGGATTTGGATTTGAAGTTCATCTCTATAGTCTTTTATATTTTTCTACCTTGATAACAAAGGATGAGTTACTATCTTGTCTAAAATTTTGGTTACTCATTAACTGGCTGTTCATATTTCATTGTGAGATGTGAAAGGATTTTCTGTGAAACTTATGCAAAAGCCACTGAGCACATATGGTTAGTTCAAGAAGGTTATTTTGCTACAGTTTTTCTCCTTGAATCATTGACTTCTATCCCACATACATTTCCTAAATGTTAATCTCCCAGCCTTCCACCTCTTTCTTCTCAACCTTAGCAAATCACCTTGCCTCCTACCCACAAAGAAGTATCTATCAGGTGTAAACTTTATCAGTTTTACTTGATCTAGTTGGAAAGACTCATTAAACTAATAAAGATGCAAATGGGTCTTTAATTATAATTATATACTCTTAATATAAAATTCTGAGGATGTGTAACCTGATACTATTTTGAAGATACAACATACCATCTGGATAAGTGATTTTTAAACTGTAGCCCATAGACTAATCAAAATGAACTAAAGTGTCTATTAAAATGAAGACTCCTCTTCCACTCGATAACTTCTGAAATTAGTGATTCTAGGATGGGACTCAGTAGTATATAGTCTTAGCAAGCTTCCCAGGTGTTTCTCATCAATTGAAATTTGAGAGTCACAACATTTTAAGGCCAAAATTATGTATTATTCACTCACCAGGAGACTAATATAATGCCTGCTGCATAGGTAACGCCCAATAATCTTTGAATGGAAAGCCTCGTGGAACAAGTGGAAGCCTTACCCATTTCTGGAAAAAAAGGTATTTTTATTAAAGTACACTCACCTCTGCATGTGTCTGACAGTAGCAGAGCAGACCAGCTTTGCAGTGAGACTCCCTGCTCCAACGCACGGGGCTCTATTTGATCTGGAGTGTGCTTCTTTCACAGGCACACTTCCCTCAGGGCTTTTGCACTTGCTTCTCTATCTTCCTGGAAGGTTCTTCCTTCAGATACTCGCAGGCTTGCTCTATAACCACCTTTAATTTTTTTGTTCAGGTGGCACTTCCTAATTAAGGTAACATTCTTGCCCAGAGTTCCTGATCCTCCTTCCCTTTTTCTTTTTTTTTCCATGCAAAGCATTTATTATTTTATAATACAAAAATAGTTTGCTAATTTATTTTGTTTATTCTATGTCTCCTCAAACTGGATGATAAGCCCCATGAAAGTAGGGCTTTAGTTGGACTTGCTCATTGCTGTTAGTTCAAATGTCTAGAAAAATACCCGACATATAAGTGCTCAATAAACACTTGTTGACTGTAACTTAATATGAAATTTTAATCTTTCAATTTATGTGCTTGGTATCCTATAGAATCCATCAGAATATATATATATATACACACACACATATACATATTTTTATGTGTGTATATATATATATATATATATATATATATATAAAGTGTAATTTCTGTCTTAAAATTTGGATCATTAGGTGATAGAAAACAGTACTTCTTTAACATCATCAGATAAAATTTACATGCAAATCAACGAGTATTTTTGATACTGTGGTCCGCAAAAACAGCAATGGGGAAACATGAACACAAATAGAATAGTGTAAACAAAAACATTGGTACTGAATTGTAATTGAGACAGGAAAGTTGACAATTTCTTTTATTTTTGGCTGCCATGGAAGAGTCTATTATCTAAATATTATAGGTTTTCAAAAATAAAATCAGAAGGATAACATTGAACACAGTCTTTCCAAAGCTCCTACAAAATATAAGAAATATTCCTTAAGTGTTTTAGTGATAGAAGTATGCTTGTGTTTCCTGATATGGTGAATTTCAATTCAAATAATTTATAAAGAGCTAAAATATATGTAACTTTCAAAGAATTAGGGTTACATTAAACAATATCTATTGCTATATTTCTGTCCATTTTGCTCTTGTATTTCCCACTGTTTCTACTGCTCACATTATAGGGCAAACTGCTTTCATTTTTATTCAAGACAAGCTTTACAAATTATCCAAACTTAATGTAATAATTTAAAAATTGTTACAGAATATTTCTTTTTTGTCTTTCTGATTATGTGACCTTTGATCTATCATTCTTGAAGGACCAGTCTGCTTCAGGATCTAGGCAGTGTGCTGTGTAGATTAGGATTTGTTGCTGAATGAAGACAGTGAGAAATATAGAAAATACATTTCACTTCCAGTCTTCATAAGTGAGATTTTGCAGCAAGCAATTGTGTGGTAGTGAATTTTACTGAGATAAAATAATCTCTATTACTTTATTTCCACCTTTATATTTACAAAGGGGAAGGGCTTAGGACTTATTTTACAGTTTCTTGTTGCTGAAAAAAGTTCTCTTTCCATTTTGGCAACAGGTGCTGCTTACTGGTGGTGGGAGAACTTGAGAAAGGGAGAGTAACCTGAAAATCTGCCTCTTTCTAATTTGGGGAATAGGGAGTAAAGTATAAGGAGGGGAAAAGGAACAGAGCCAGACAAAGAAGAGAAGTCTGGACATCCAGACTTAGGGAGACTCTTGGGAAGGTATGATTGTGTTTTGAAATGTGAGAACATGAGATGTGGTAGTGGCCCAGGGTAGAATGACATGCTTTGGCTGTGTCTCCACACAAATCCTATCTTGGACTCTAGTTCCCATAATCCCCATGTATCCTAGGAGGGACCCAGTGGGAGGTAATTGAATTAAGGGGGCAGTTACTTCCATGCTGTTCTCGTGGTAGTGAGTGAGTTCTCACAAGATCTGATGGTTTTATAAAGGGATCCCCACACACACACTTTGCTCTGTACTTCTCCTTCCTGCCATCATGTGAAGAAGGATGTGTTTGCTTCCCCTTCCACCATGATTGTAAATTTCCTGTGGCCTCCTCAGCCATGCTGAACTGTAAGTCAATTAAACCTCATTCCTTTATAAATTACTTAATCTCCAGTATGTGATTATTAGCATTATGAGAATAGACTAATACAGTGGTCATATGAAAATCCTATTTTCAATGAATTTTTATCAAAGTTTTCATTTTATAATTGCTCTTACCTCATTATCATTTGCGCACTCTCTCCTTATCTTCCTAGCATATACTGTTCTGTCATTATGTAGTTATTTATGTATATATCTGTTTCATGTCTGTAAGCTCCATATATCTGGGGACTCTACCCATTTCATTTATTCACCACTACCTACTCAGGGCCTGGTCAATGCCTGGCACTTAGTAAACATTTTGTATTTTTAAAGAATTAAAGAAAAATTTTTAAAAAACTGAAAAGTAAATGCAAAGCAGCTTTGATGCCTGCTCTATTGTATCTCTTTAATTATAATGTCAACATTTTGTAGTTTTTTTTTTTAAATTTTCTTTAGTATCTAAATTAGTGCTATCTGGTCTTGTCTTTGCCTGGGTGACTTTAACCTCTTATATATTGTCTTATGTGAACTTGATTTAAAGTTTGCATAAAGTATTTTATGGAATGGGAGAGAAAAAAAAGATAAAAAGTTATGAACTACAACTAAGTGATCCATGGGAGCTTAGAAAACTTACTTAATTCTCTGAATCTGAGAGTCATTGGTTGTATAAAAGGGTTACTTATAACTAGCTTCTAGAATTGTTAATATTTGTAATGCACTACAGACTGACTCTTCACAAAAAAGGTGCTAAACTAATGGCAGCTATTTAAAATCCTATGATTTTCAGCTCACAGCGAGTACACAAATAGATAATGTATGATGTACACTGCAGCCTTGGAGTCTTTATTTGGGCTGCATAAATACAAAGCACTAGGATAGAATTTTCTTTTAACTCTTTGTTTTCTGAAGATTCAAATGATAAGCAATGTTACTTTCTTTTTTTTGGGGGGGGCAGGAAGGAGCACTGGGGGAACAGGGTCTTACTCTGTTGCGCAGGCTGGAGTGCAATGGCAGGACCTAGGTTCACCGCAACCTCTGCCTGCCTGGCTCAGGTGATCCTCCCACCTCAGCCCTCAAAGTAGCTGGGGCTACAGGTATGCATCACCACATCGGGATAGTTTTTTGTATTTTTAGTAGAGATGGGGTTTTGCCACGTTGTCCAGGCTGGTCTTGAATTCCTGGGCAAAGGTGATCTGTCCACCTTGGCCTCCCAAAGTGCTGGGATTACTGGCGTGAGCCACCTTGCCCAGCCAGAAGTGTTGTTTTCATTTCTTCTCAAACCCACAGAATAACAAATAAAATGCAGAGGTATAAATGGCTATCTTTTGGCATGTCTATTTGAAATGGTAAAGCACTTATTATTGAACATGGGTCAAACATGTTGTTCAGCAAATGATATACGTTCAATATGCATTTGTTAGCCTGTTATCTGTCAGCTTTTTATTTTAACACTTATTTCTCACATTTTAGCCTTTTCAGTTTACTCCTGTCCCCTCTTATATGCTTTAATATCGTTTGTCCTCAGTCCTTCTTATATGCTCCCCATCCCTTTTATATGCTTTTATATTGTTTGTACTCAATATTTTTTCCGTTTAAAAACTTTGATAACTTCTGATGCAACTGTTTTAGGATCATCCCTGTTTTTTTCCAGTGTAAAGTAAAGCTAGTTCAATGTTTTCTCACTCAAATTATGCCAAAGAAACCGTCATAATGATTCTGTACACAAATACATATTAAGCAAACCATTTCATATTTGAATAACTTAACAGATAGTTGACTACTTAGTAGTAACTGAATATTAATCGGCCACCAACTGGGAATTTGCATAGTGTCATCAATATGGCCTGGCCAGTCACCCCAGATGAGGGTAATCATTCTTCATGTAAGTATAGGAATGTGATAACATTGCTGACATTGGTGCTTTGGAATTTAAAACTACAGTCAGAACATTAATCAAATACTGTACCAATAGAAAATTCATATTTATAAGAAGGAAATATTAGAACCATTTTTAGTGTATATATTGCAACTTTAAAATCTTCATGTCTACTTCCTACTATGTCAAGAGGAGCCCTATGTAAAGATTTGTACACTTACTCTTTTACAGCTTTTTTCACTTTGACATTAGAAACTGTCTGATTGCTAACAAACACGGAGACTCTTTAGGGAGAAGAGTTGTTAAATGTAAATTATATTAAAGAACCTGTTTTAAGAATGTTCTATGTGAATATTAGTGATATTGCAGAAGGAGAGAGAGTCACTCCTGTAAAGAGTGTCACTTGGCAAGTGTAAAGAGTAGAAAGTAATCACCAACTAGAGAATCATTGGGTGTCCTTATTGGACATGTTAAAAATATTTATAGAAAATCTTCACTTTTTAAAAAATGTATTCTCTTCAAATCTGGATAAGAGGTTCATGACATCTCACTTTTGCATTTATTTAAATTATCTATTCTGTTACAATCCAGATTACTTTTCGTAGAATTACGCCAACTTTTACAAATAAAAAACACATTTATATAATTTTTTGTGTGAAATTTGATAAAACATCAAGATAAGCAACTGAACTTTTGGTTTTATATACTTTCTTAACCATTGTAAAGTGAAGCTACAAAATAAGACCCTACTAGGGAAAATGCATGGATATTTGTTGATCTTATGTAAATAGAAGACAGGACGACTACATTGGGATGCTAGTTGTATGAGTTTTTCACAAATGATAACAGTGGTTGTCTTTCCCAAAAGTAAACACTGAGGAGTGTTTTACACCAACCGATTCAAAGTTGAATTTATGAAAGTATAGATTTCCCCATGAAATCCAAAAACGTTTCAAAGTAGAGGCTCTTTGGAATTCTGTTTCAAACTGAACACTATTTCCCTCAATTCACCTTTAGTTAAAGCAATTGAAATCATGTTGTAAAGTTCTAGTATTATTTTTCATCCCAGAAGTATTTTTGAATTGTGAGTGGATGGGAGTGAGCTTATGCACACAGGAGACCCTTTGGGGAAGATTGAGTTGCTGATAAGTTCCTGAAGGTCCCTATTATGGAGACCTTACTGGGCCTTATAGAGCTGCCCTAGAATTTCAGAATGTGAATTTTGAGGTCTAAAGTCCATTAATGGTAGACATAAACATGGGCTAGTTAGGCACCTAAGACCATTTTGACATATTGATTTTATCAGTGTAACCTGATTATCAGGCATTTTCAAGGTAGTGTGTATGAAGCACCTCTCTAACAGTACCAGTTATCAGAGCTGAGTGGAACAAATACGCAATCAAACATTATTTATTTAGCTCGAATATATGAATTAGTTGTTCCTGCTGTTTTAACAAGTATCCAACTGGCATTTGCTAGAATTAAATGATGATCTCCAAGTGAGAAATATAGTATGTTGGTAATCATTAGCATTTTATTGACCAATTTGGAATCACTGAATAAAACTAAAATCAAACAAATGGTTGTTTGAATAGTAAATAAGACTAAGAAAAAAATAAAAGATCATTCCCCTCTGGCACTGTTAAATCTTTTCAAATGATTAATGAGGAAATATTAATGAAGTCAAAAAATAACCTACCTATCAGATTTAGAATAGACCCCAAAAGGGCACAGAACACAAACTCAATTACTGAAATTCTTAGAGACTTCAAAATCTTTTATATTTGGAAAACAAAATCCATAAAAACAGAATTGAAATTGCCATATTTATTATCTCTAATGAAAGTTGTTTTAAATTTGTTTATATAGCTAATGTTACAAGATTTTGCATAAATATTTGAGTCAGCATTTTCCCAAGGTGTTCAAAGATCCTTTTCATATCTTCTCTAGTAATGTTTTCCCTTGTTTTGGATAGCATGAGGACGTACAATGGTGTTTCCAGCATTTTTATATTTTCTTAAAGTCAGGAAACTTAAAAGCTTTGAATCTGTGAGGTGAAGTATGGACTATAGCAATGATGTTTCGTGAGATTACAGTGAAGCAGGTTAAAGAAAGCGGGTAGGAAAGAAAGAAAAGAAAGAGAAAGCTGGAAAGGGAGAAGGTCAGGAATTACTAATAAGTACTTCTGTTTACTAGGAACATCATATGTGTTCACTCCTTTACTCATTTTATCATTGCTAAGGACACCTAGCAATGATAAAAATCAGTGCTGTAATTTTAACAACAAAACAAATGAGACACAGACAACTTAAGTAGCCGCAAGACAACTGGCAATTCTAACAGAGGAAGGAGGACTTAAACTCAAGACTCACTTAAGCTGCAGCACATACTTTTTCACTACATCCTGGATGGCCAGTACATCTCAAAATGCTAATCAATATTTAGCAGCCACCTAGACACTACATTATGAGGGATGTTTAAGCCCAACTTAGGTTTTTTGGCAGATTACTGGGATTAGTTGGAGATGTTTATTGTGTGTGACATAATGGAATGAGGTGGGATGTGTTTCTACCCTATCATGGAAACCTCACAGCATACAGTCCTCTTGAAAGCCTCCCTGGCCATAGTCCTGAACACCTTACAGTTCATATCAAGCCATTTTGTGTCCCTCTGTGTCTTCTACCTTTGAGAAGTCATAGAAAGCTCAGAAGACCACTGACGGGACCAATGCTGTTACCCTTTTCCTTTAGGCAAAGAAACATACCCTCAGCCCCTACTACCATATCTATGAAAAAGAAGACTGGGTTTATGTCTCCTTAGCTTGGCATCTAATGGCTGCTACCAGGTGAACTCCATGCATTTCTGTTTACAACTTCTCAACATAAATCTTCCAATTTACCAATCTGATATATCTATTAATATATTCCATAGGTACAGTAATGAATTTCTATGTCAAAGACTGATACTTGACCAACAGTATCAACATCTGTTCTTCTCTTCCTTTTTAGTAACAAAAACCTGATTTTATTTGGGATGGACATGCGCTTCACTGAAAGACCACATTTTCAGCTTCTTTTGTAGCCAGTTGCAACCATATGATTATATTAAGTATAAGAGTGTCTTAGTCCATTTTGTGTTGTTACAAAGGAATACCTGAAAGTGAGTAATATATTTTTAAAAAGGGAGATTTATTTGGGTGATAATTCTGAGGTCTGAAAAAGTTCAAGATTGGGTGTCTGATGAGGTCTTCACACTGCTTCCACTCATGGCAGAAAGCAAACGAGAGCTGCAGTTTGTAGAGATCACCTGGTGAGAAATGAAGCAAGAAAGAGAGAGAGAGAGTGGGGAGATACCAAACTCTTTTTAACTACTGATTTTAATAGAAACCAGTACAGTGGTGACTAGTAAGTCTCACTACCAGGAGAATGGCACCAAGCCACTCATGAGGGATCCACCCTTGTAACCCAAAAACCTTCCACTAGGTCCCATCTCCAATACTGAGGATCAATTCATTTTGTTGTTTTTTTGTGTGTTTAAAAACTGTTATTTATTTATTTATTTCTTTTTCAACTTTATTTTAGGTCCAGGGATTACACGTGCAGGTTTCTTACGTGGGTAAATTGCATGTCAGTGGGGTTTAGTGTACAAATGACTTCTTCCCTCAGGTAGTGAGTACAGTACCCAATAAGTAGTTTTTTGACCCTCAACCTTCTCCCACCCCCTACCTTCAAGTAGGCCCCGGGTGTCTTTTGTTCCGCTCTTTGTTTCCATGCATACTTAGTATTTAACTTCCACTTACAAGGGAGAAGATGCTGTATTTTGTTTTCTATTCATGCATTAATTTGCTTAGTATAATGCTCCCCAGCTGCAGCCATGCTGCTTCAAAGGACATAATTTTTCTCTTTTTATGACTGCATAGTATTCCATGTTGTATGCATGCCACATTTTCTTTATCCATTCCAACACTGATGGACATCTAGATTGATTCCATTTCTATGGTATTGTGAATAGTGCTGAGATGAACACATGCATGCATGTGCCTTTTTGTAGAATGATTTTAATTCCTTTGGGTATATTGCAGCAATGGGATTGCTGGGTCAAATGGTAGCTGTATTTTAAGTTCTTTGAGAAATCTTCAAACTGCTTTCCACAGTGGCTGAACTAATTTACTTTCAAAACAACAGTGTATAATTGATCCCTCTTCTCTGCAATGTTGCCAACATTTGTTATATTTTGACTTTTTAATAATAGCTATTCTGACTGCTATGTGATGTTATCTCATTGTGGTTTTGATTTGCATTTATCTAATGATTGGTGATGTTGAGCATTTTTTTTCATATGCCCATTGGCTGAATGTATGTCTTCTTTGAGAAGTGTCTGTTCATGTATTTTGCCTATTTTTTAAGTGGGTTGTTTGTGTTTCGCTTCTTGATTTAAGTTCCTTATATTTTCTGGATATTAGACCTTTGTCAGATACATAGCTTGCAAATATTTTTTCCCATTTTGTGCCTTTTTTCTCTGTTGATAGTTTCCTTTGCTTTGAGGAAGCTCTTTAGTTTCAGTAGGTCCCACTTATCAATTTTTGTTTTTGTTACAAATGTTTTTGGAGATTTTATCATGAAATATTTGCCAAGGCCTATGTCTAGAATGGAATTTCCTAGTTTTCTCCTAGGATTTTTAAAATTTTAAGTCTTACTTTTAAGTCTTTAATCCATCTTGAAGTAATTTTTGTACAGGGTGAAAGGAATGGGGTCCAGTTTTAGTCTTCTGCATATGGCTAGCCAGTTAGGGGATCCAATTTTAACATGGAGTTTCAAGGGACAAATATCCAAACTATACTAAAGGGTTATTTGAGATTTCTGTAAAATATTTTTTTAAAAGAAGGAATGGTTCCACTATTTCTCTCCTTTTTCTTTCCCACTAGCTAATGTGTGGATATTACAGATATAACTGATGTAGCTTTCTTGAACCACAAGGTAAACTCAAGAGTGGAAGTTGCTGCTGAAATTAGGCACAGATTGTTTTATATTTGCTTCTCTAGATCCATTCTTTGCCCACTTAAAAAACCCTGTTCCCTGCTCTAGAAAGCTGACCTCTATTTATAGCATCACTCAAGTTCCTTTGTTTTCTTACGACTAGATGGATTTGACCAATGAGAACAAGATATTGGAGGTGAAAGGAGAGCAAGGTCACAGTATTTATTTCTCCTCTTTCTTGCCAGATTGTAGACCTGAAGAATGGAGGGAATAAAGTTTTTATTTAACTTGAAGAAAGAGAGAGCTGGTAGTGAAGACTGCCTGAGATAAACTTTGGTGTTTTGTAGAAGAACATATAGAACCCATGGTGACTGGGAAGGCAGGAAACCAGGGGAGTGGATCCTCAGCTTTACTCTCTTCCATTGTATTATCTATTGTTAGTGGTTTCTGATTGTTGGACTAACCAGAAATTAGAGGGCATCAGGAGCCATTGGTATAGAGTATGTGTCTGAGCACCCATGGAGAGCTATGAAAAGTAAAGACGGAGGGGCACAGAGAATAAATATGCAAACACATGCTTCTTTAAAAGCTCATCAATTACCCTTTTAAGTTTGTCATTTGTTTCTTTCAAGGACTCTAGTCAATACAGTAATGACTGTCAGAAGTAGGCTTTCTAAATATGATGTTGGAATTTGAATGGACACATATTCCCAGCTCAGGAAGTGGGCAGAGAAGTCAACCATCTCATGTAGTCATAAGGTAAACAGGAATAAAGCCTGATAGTGAAAGCTTTAGATTCACAGATCCAAAATGCACAATCCAACTAGGTCTCATGCTAAGGCAGGAGTGGCAATTGGGAAGAACCAAGACCCTAAGATGTGCTTTGGGGTCAGTTAGGCAGACACCGATGGGGCACAGAATTAGAACTATCAAGTCTTCCTGAACATACTTTTTTGGTGGAAGTATCCTCTCCTACCATCCTACCTGCCCATTTCTGCCTAAGAGAACTAATCTCTTATATTAAACAAAACTAAACAAAGCAAAACAAAACAACTCTTCATGATGTCACCTAGTACAGATACTTCATAAAGATATGTGGATTCTCTTGAGTACCTACTCTCAACATTCTTCACAGACTCCATCCCTAAAATGAGAATTAGATCTAAGCATAGCACAGACAGTCAAATCAGGGCCTCTTCCAGGTGGAGATCACTTCTACACCAGGACAATTTTCAGCATGTAGGAAATACTTTTTCCCAAAGCTTTAAGAGCTGCATTGCTGAGGGGAATATCAGAAATCATAAAAAAACAAAACAAAACAAAAAAAAGACTACAGTGATTGTTGTCTATAATCTAGAGAGGACAGTCAGCTCTGCTACCATGGAATTAGGTTCCCCAGTGGATTATGGTATCCCACAGTAGCAGGGGTCAGGTGGTGGCCCATAACCTTTGGACACAATTACCATAATTAGCCACAGAGGTCTATAGCTGTGGCTAATTATTCCCAAGGCTCCTGAGAGTGAAATAGATGGGCAGCCTCCTAATGCATTATTTAACTTATAAAAGCAGAAAATTTTCAGGTCTATTGAGCAAAAATAAGACTTGAAGTACTGCAGTGGGGTTCATGGCCTCTTATTCAATTCTAAAACATAAACTATCTCACAGACCCAGAATGATTTGATTGACAGGGAGACCAGTCCTCTTTGAGGAAAGACCCTAGAAAAGAGCCTAAATTCTGTACTGTGAATCTTTCTTCATGTTCTCTCCAGAGGCTATAATCCCTTAATAATGTGACTGAGAAAAAGCAAAAAACCAGACCGTATGTTGTTGTTAGATACCAGATCTGAATGAAACAATGTGATCCAGTGGTTCAATTAAGGACTAATGGATATCAAGTGTGAGATGGAATCTTGGCAAAGTCAATCTTGTACTAAATTGATTAGAATTATTTTTTTCCTATTTCCCTAGTTTTGGAATATTTTGAGTAAATATGTATATTTGGTAAATGCAGAGTCCTCTCATTAGTTCTCTGTCCTATGGAATGAGGGCTATTATTGCAGAAATGTTCTATATATTTTTCTCTCATGGCATCCTTCCTCAAGATACTAAATCAAAAGCAACACTACATAACTGGTGGGAATTGCAGAGATTAGTGCCACCATCAAGGATTTAAGAGATAATGGAGTGGATATTTTTTATCTATTTGTAAAACCAGCATTATCTATTTTATCCTTATTTAACTTTTTGTTTGAATTCTGAAAAAAAATTAGAATAATCTTAGAGAATGACTCTGGATTATAACAATATTACTCAAATAATACAACAATTGTATTTGTTGTTCTGGATATGATGAGCAAATAAACAGATGTGTTAGCTTCTCGTATGCTATTACCTTAGAAATTACTGTCTTTAACTTCCAACCAGTTAACACAATCAGAAATAGTGTGCCTTCATGTATCAGGAGCAGCAGCACTACTTACCATCTTATATCAGGTCTTTGTTAACTCTTTTGCTCTCTGTTCTAACCTAGTATGGAGAAAACTTCTTTCTTTGTTTTTGGAATTCTATAGACTATTTCCTGATCCATTACATTATACTAATTGCAACAGGTATGAAGGAAGTAGGAAGCACCATAGTTGATTTATTAAGATAAATACGGGTCTGAAAATTCCATGGAGTTTCTAAGTACCCTTCAAAAAGAAATAGGCATAATGGCTGACCTCTTTAGATTTTAGAGCTAACCTGTAAAATATTTGAGCATTTAAATACGTATATTTACCATTTGCGACAATTAATGTTAGGTGTCAACTTAACTGGATTGAGGGATGCCTAGATGGCTGGTAAAGTATTGTTTCTGGGTGAGTTTGTGAGGGTGTTGCCAGAGGAGACTGACATTGAGTTGGTGGGATGTGAGAGGAAGATTCTCCCATCATGTGGGTGGGGGCCATCCAATTGGCTGCTGCCAGCCTGGCTAGAACAAAGCAGGAGGAAGAAGGTAGGATAACTTTACTTGTTGAATCTTCTGGCTCTCTTTCTCCTTCACATGCTGGACACTTGCTTCTGCTGTTTCTGCTCTTGGACATCAGACTTCAGGTTCTTCAGCCTTTGGACTCTGGGACTTGCACTAGCAACTTCCCAAGTTTCTTGGTCCTTCGGCTGCAGACTGAAGGCTGCACTGTCAGCTTCTCTGGTTTTGAGGCTTTCGGACTTGGAATGAGCCACTTCTGGCTTCTCTCTTCCCCAGCTTGCAGACAGCCTATCATAGGACTTTGTCTTGTAATCTTGGGAGCCAGTACACCATAATAAACTCTTTTTTGTATATACATGTATCCTATTGGTTTTGTCCCTCTGGAGAACCCTAATACAGATTTTGGTACCAGGACTGGTTATTAGGAAAGAAATTTAAGAATGAATTTTCTTAGTTGATTTTGGGGTATCTGGAGTTGGCTTTCTAATCTGATTAGACCTAAACATGCTAAAGACTCTTCTTCTAATAGCCCAGAGAGCACTGAGTCTTTGGCATGCATTGTTTACAGAGTTGTGCAAAATAAAGATATTTGATACTCCTGATTCAGTGCTCCTGAGAGGCAAGTTTAGTGACTCTATACATAATACCTTTGAACATTTGCAGAGAACCAAGGAGTATAATGAAGTCGGTTGTTTGCTCCTAAATTCACTGGACAGAGTGATGAAAGAAAAGGATGAGTTCAGAGACTATATCTCCTGGCTCTAGAAGAACATACTTTGCCTCAAAGCTTCTAAGAGTGTCCGGGGTGAGATTCTTCTCTTCTATAGACAAAGGGCTGAAATTGCTGAAAATAAGATGCAAGATCTTATCATGTGAGTGGCGGAGGTACAACAACAAAAAAGTGTCGGCTCAACCTTACCAGGTGTCTATTGTTAAAGTGAAGTCATTGATTGGGTAACAACCGGACCCTGTAACTTGGCATGAGGATGTGTGAGAGGACCCTAATGAAGCTGAGGACACTGAACTTCTAAATAGTGATGAGACTTTTTTGCCAGAGGAAACAGCCTCCCCATGCTCAGTGGTGGCAACATCCCCTCCCCCACCCACACTGCCATCAGCCTTTCCACCTTTGTCTGAGGAGATTAACCCTGCACTGCTTGAGACCACAGTGATGGCCTCACCTGAGGCAGTTGCCAGTCAAGACAATGCAGATTATCTTCAGGACCCACCCCCACCATGCCTCTTTGTTTCTAGACCTATAACTAGACTCAAGACCCAGTAGGACCCTAAAGGTGAGGTTCAGGGTGTTACCCATGAGGAGGTGCACTACACTCCAATAGAACTGCTTGAGTTTTCTAATTTATATAAGCAGAAATCTGGAGAACAGATATGGCAATGGATGTTAAGGGTTTGGGATAATGGTGATAGGATCATAAAGTTGGATCAGGCTGAATTTATTGATATCGACTCACTAAACAGAGATTCTGAATTAAATGTTGCAGCTCAGGGATTTACAAAGATTCTACTAGTTTATTTACTTGGTTAACTAAAA